>NC_000006.12:10514545-10666060 GCF_000001405.40 Homo sapiens | reverse complement strand
TTCATGCTAAAAACTCTCAATAAACTAAGTATTGAAGGAACGTACCTCAAAATAAGAAGAGCCATATATGACAAACCCACAGCCAATATAATACTGAATGGGCAAAAGCTGGAAGCATTCCTCTTGAAAACTGGCACAAGACAAGAATACCCTCTCTCACTCCTATTCAACATAATATTGGAAGTTCTGTCCAGGACAATCAGGCAAGAGAAAGAAATAAAGGGTATTCAAATAGGAAAAGAGGAAGTCAAATTATCTTTGTTTGCAGATGACATGATTCTATATCAAGAAAATCCCATCATCTCGGCCCAAAAGTTACTTAAGCTGATGAGCAACTTCAGCAAAGTCTCAGGATACAAAATCAATGTATAAAAATTGCTAGCATTCCTATATACCAACAACATCCAAGCAGAGAGTCAAATCATGAATCAACTCCCATTCACAATTGCTGCAGAAAGGAAAAAATACCTAGGAATACAATTTACAAGGGAAGTGAAGGAGCTTTTCTAGAACTACAAACCACTGCTCAAAGAAATCAGAGAGGGGCTGGGCGCAATGGCTCAGGCTTGTAATCCCAGCACTTTGGAGGCTGAGGTGGGTGGATCACCTGAGGTCAGGAGTTTGAGACCAGCCTGCCCAACACAGCAAAACCCCATCTTTACTAAAAATACAAAAAATTAGGCAGGTGTGGTGGCGGGTGCCTGTAATCCCAGCTACTCGGGAGGCTGAGGCAGGAGAATCACTTGAACCTGGGAGGTGGAGGTTGCAGTGAGCCGAGATCACGCCACTGCACTTCAGCCTGGGTGACAAAAGTGAAACTCTGTCTCAAAAAAAAAAAAAAAGAAATCAGGACACAAACAAATGGAAAAACATTCCATGCTCATGAATAGGAATAATTAATATCATGCAAATGGCCATACTGCCCAAAGTAATTTATAGATTCAATGCTATTTCGCTTAAACTGCCATTGACATTCTTCATAGAATTAGAAAAACTATTTTAAAGTTCATATGGAACCAAAAAAGAGCACGTATAGCCAAGACAATCCTAAGCAAAAAGAACAAAGTTGGAGGCATCATACTACCTGACTTCAAACTATACTGCAAGGCTACACTAACCAAAACAGCATGGCTTGTACAAGAAAAGACACATAGACCAATGGAACAGAATAGACAACTCAGAAATAAGACCACACATCTACAACCATCTGATCTTCAACAAACTTGACAAAAACAAGCAATGGGGAAAGGATTCCCTATTCAATAAAAGGTGCTGGAAGAACTAGCTAGCCACATGCAGAAAATTGAAACTGGTCCCCTTCCTTACGCCGTATACAAAGATTAACTTAGGATGGATTAAATACTTAAACATAAAACCCAAAACTATAAACACCCTAGAAAATCTAGGCAATATCGTTCAGTACATAGGCACAGGCAATGATTTCATAACAAAAATGCCAAAAGCAATTGCAACAAAAGCAAAAACTGACAGATGGGATCTAATTAAACTAAAATGCAAAAGAAACAGCAGAAGAAACTATCGTCAAAATAAACAGACAACCTACAGAATGGGAGAAAAGTTTTGCAATCTATCCATCTCACAAAGGTCTAATATCCAGAGTCTACAAGGAACTTAAACAAATACACACACACACACACACACAAAACCCATAAAAAGTGGGCAAAGGACATGAACAGACACTTCTGAAAAGAAGACATAGACGCGGCCAACAAACATATGCAAAAAAGCTCAACATCACTGATCATTAGAGAAATGCAAATCAAACCCACAACGAGATGCCATCTCACACCAGTCAGAGTGGCTATTATTAGAAAGTCAATAAACAACAGATGCTGGCAAGGTTGTGGAGAAAAAGGAACGCTTTTACACTGTTGGTGGCAGTGTAAATTAGTTCAACCATTGTGGAAGACAGTGTGGTGGTGATTCCTCAAAGACTTAAATTAGCCGGGTGTGGTGGCGGGCGCCTGTAGTCCCAGTACTTGGGAGGCTGAGGCAGGAGAATGGCATGAACCTGGGAGGCGGAGCTTGCAGTGAGCCGAGATCGCACCACTGCACTCCAGACTGGGCGACAGAGCCCATATTCTGTCTCAAAAAAAAAAAAAAAAAAAAGACTTAGAGGCAGAAATACCATTTGACCCAGCAATCCCATTACTGGGTATGTACCTAAAGGAATACAAATCATCCTATTGAAAAGACATATGCACATGTCATTGCAGCACTATTCACAATAGCAAAGACATGGAATTAACCTAAATGCTCATCGATGATAGACTGGATAAAGAAAATGTAGTACATATACACCATGGAATACTCTGCAGCCATAAAAAGGAAGGAGATCATGTCCTTTGCAGGGACATGGATGGGGTTGGAAGCCATTATCCACAGCAAACTAATGCAAGAACAGAAAACCAAATACCACGTGTTCTTGCTTATAAGTGGGAAATGAAAAATGAGAACACATGGGGAACAACACACACACTGGGGCCTGTTGGAGGGGTTGGGGAGTGCATCAGGAAGAATAGCTTAATACCTAGGTGATGGGATGATCTTTGCAGCAAACCACCACGGCACTCATTTAGCTCTGTAACAAACCTGCATATCCTGCATATGTACCCCTGAACTTGAAGGAAAACTCACTCCAGCTGTTCTATGGAACATAGTGTGGAGGGAGATGGGAGGAGAGACAGAGAGCCGTTAGGAAACTACTGCAGCTGTCCTGGCCTAGAGACTGGAGTTTAATTCCAGGGTGGATGTGGTGTATACGGAGAGAGGTGGAGAACTTTAAGGTGCATTTTAGAGATAAAATTATTACTAAAAAGGGGTCCCAGAGTAGACCCCAAGAGAGGGTTCTTGGATCTTAACGCAAGAAAAGAATTTGGGGCAAGCCCATACAGTAAAGTGGAAGCAGGCTTATTAAGAAAGGAACAAAAGAATAGCTACACCATAGACATAAAAATAGCATAGAGATAAGCTATCTTTATGCTTATTTCTTGAATATATGCTCAACAAGGATGGATTATTAATGAGTTTTCCAGAAAAGGGGTAGGGATTTCCTGGAACTAAGGGTTCCTCCTCCTTTTAGACCATATAGGGTAACTTCCTGATGTTGCCATGGCATTTGTAAACTGTCATGGTGCTGGTGGGAGTTTCTTATCATGCTAACGCATTATAATTAGTGCATAATGAGTAATGAGGATGACCAGAGGTCACTTTCTTGCCATATTGGTTTTGGTTGGCTTCTTTAGCACCTCCCGGTTTTTTTTGTTTTTTTGAGACACTGTCTCACTCTTGCCCAAATTGGAGTGCAGTGGTGCAATCTCAGCTCACTGCAACCTCCGCCTCCCAGGTTCAAGCAATTCTCCTTCCTCAGCCTTCCGAGTAGCTGGGACTGCAAATGCGTGCTACCATGCCCGGCTACTTTTTTGTATTTTCAGTAGAGGTAAGGGTTTCACCATGTTGGTCTGGCTGGTCTCAAACTTCTGACCTAAAGTGATCGGCCCACCTCGGCCTCCCAAAGTGCTGGGATCACTAGCAAGCGAGCCACCGCGCCCAACCACCACCTCCTGTTTTATCACCAGTGTTTATGACCCGTATCTTGTGATATCAGTCCTGCGGACCTCCTGTCTTATCCTGTAACTAAGAATGCCTGACCTCCTAGGAATGCAGCCCAGTAGTCTGTCTTGTTTTACCCAGCCCCTATTCAAGATGGAGTCGCTCTGGTTCAAATGACTCTTGACAAAATGTCAGCTTTTTGATTGTGATGAGGGAGATAGGCAGAATCCAGAGTTACCCCTAGGATTTTTTGGCTTGAGTAATAGCATGGTTAGTTGTTCTATTCACTGAAAAGGAAGAAACTGGGATAGCATCATTGTGTGTGGTTAGGTCATGGGTCTGGCAGAATCAAGATGCCTGCCAGACCTTAGGCATAGACTGCTTGAGCTTCCTGAAATATATCTACTCCACAACCATTCTTGATCCCACCGCTGCCAAAAGGGGTAAGGATTCACCCCTTGCTACCTTTTCAGAATGTGGACCATGATGGAGATGCCTGCATTGTTAGACCAACCTAAAGGGAAACTTGTTATATGAATGCTTTGTTTAACCAGAGTCGTCTTAACCAGAATCTTCTCTAATAGCAAGAAATAGGCAAAAGGGAAAACTTCTGGAGAAGTTGAAAAAGGAACAGAATGGGCTTTGCACCTTTATTCTTGAAGCTCAAAGAAACTTTAAAAATGGATTTTAATACTAGACAAAGAACTAGTGGATGCACCAAGATTGTTATATCAGAACTATATGCTGTTCCTATAAAAAGGTTTTTATGTTATCTTATGGGGGAATCTAAACTCCCTTGAGATTGCTGTAACAAGAAAAGGGTTGGGATTTTTTTTTTTTTTTTTTTTGAGATGGAGTCTTATTGTCTCCCAGGCTGGAGTGCAGTGGCATAATCTCGCCTCACTGTAGTCTCTACCTCCCCGGTTCAAATGATTCTCCTGCCAGTCTCCCCACTAGTTAGGATTACAGGAACGTGCTGCCATGCGCCAGGCTAATTTTTGTATATTTGGTAGAGACAGGGTTTTACCATGCTGGCCAAGCTGGTCTTGAACTCCTGGCCTCAAGTAATCCACACACCTTGGCCTCTCAAAGTGCTAGCGTGACCAGAATTAGCGTGTTCTTGGTCTAGACTTCCAAAATGAAGCTATGGAACCTCACAGTGAGTGTTACAGTTCTTAAAGGCAGCGTGTCCACCAGCGTTTCTCCCTACTGATAGCTCAGCTGCGTTCAGTTTTTTTGCTTTTAGTGGGTTCGTGGTCTCTAGCTCAGGACTGAAGCTACAGACCTTTGTGGTGGGCGTCCCAGCTGTTAGGGCGACGCATTATTAGTTGCTCCCAGTGGGTTTACAGTCTCACTGGCTTCATTATTGAAACTGCAAACCTTCGCAGTGAGTGTTATAACTCACAAAGGCAGTGTTGACCCAAACATTGAGCAACAGTAAAATTCATTACAAAGTAAAAACAAACCACCCACACCACATAACACAACCTCACCAAATGGCCACCGCCTGCTCCGGCGGCCTGCTTTTATTCTCTTATCTGGCCCCACCCACATCCTACTGATTGGTCCATTTTACAGAGAGCCAATTGGTCTGTTTTACAGACAACTGATTGGTCCGTTTTGACAGGGTGCTGATTGGTGCGTTTACAAACCTTGAGCTAGACACAAAAGTTCTCTAAGTCCCCACTAGATTAGCTAGACACAGAGCACTGACTGGTGCATTTACAAACCTTGAGCTAGACACAGGGTGCTGAGTGGTGCATTTACAAACCCCGAGCTAGACACAGAGTGCTGATTGGTGCATTCACAATCCCTTAGCTAGGCATAAAGGTTCTCCAAGTCCCCACCAGATCAGCTAGACACAGAGTGCAGATTGGTGCATTTACAAACCTTGAAATAGACACAGGGTGCTGATTGGTGCATTTACAAACCTTGAGCTAGATACAGAGTGCCAATTGCTGTATTCACAATCCCTTAGCTAGACATAAAGATTCTCCAAGTCCCCACCAGATTAGCTAAATACAGAGTGCCCACTGGTGCATCCACAAACCCCGAGCTAGACACAGAGTGCTGATTGGTGTGTTTACCCTCCCTTGACTAGACATAGAGGTTCTCCAAGTCCCCACTAGACTGGGTAGCCCAGCTAGCTTCACCCAGTGGATCCCGCACTGGGGCCGCAGGTGGAGCTGCCTGCCAGTCTCGCTCCCTGCGCCCGCACTCCTCTGCTCTTGGGTCCTCAATGGGACTGGGCGCCTCGGAGCAGAGAGCCACGCTCGTCGGGGAGGCTCGGGCCTTGCAGGAGCCGACAGCGTGGGGCAGGGGAGGCTCACGCATGGCGGGCTGCAGGTCCTGAGCCCTGCCCCGCGGGGAGGCAGCTAAGGCCTGGCGAGAAATCGAGCGCAGCCTCGGTGGGCCGGCACTGCTGGGGGACCCCGTGCACCCTCCACATCTACTGGCCTGGGGGCTAAGCCCCTCACTGCCCAAGGCCGGCGGGGTCGCCCGGCCGCTCCGAGTGCGGGGCCAGCCAAGCCCACGCCCACCCGGAACTCTAGCTGGCCGGCAAGCGCCGCGCGCAGCTCCAGTTCCTTTCCGTGCCTCTCCCTCCACACCTCCCAGCAGGCTGAGGGAGCCGGCTCCGGCCTCAACCAGCCCAGAGAGGGGCCCCGACAGCGCAGAGGCGGGCTGAAGGGCTCCCTGAGCATGGCCAGAGCGGACGCCGAGGCCGAGGAGGCACCAAGAGCAAGCGAGGGCTGCCAGCAGCTGTCACCTCTCTCTGGGATTACAGGCATGAGCCACCTCCCCCTCTCCCCGTCTCCCCCTCTTCCCCTCTCTCTTCCTCTCCCCCTCTCTCCCTCTCTCCCTCTCCTCTCCCCCTCCTCACCTTCTCCCCTCTCTTTCTCTTTTTCTTCTGCAGTCTAGCTCTGTCGCCTAGGCTGGAGTGCAGTGGTGCGATCTTTGCTTACTGCAAGCTCCGCCTCCCAGATTCAAGCAATTCTCCTGCCTCAGCCTGCGGAGTAGCTGGGATTACAGGCTCCTACCACCACGTCCGGCTACTTTTTTTGTATTTTTAGTAGACACGGGGTTTCACCGTGTTCGCCAGGATGGTCTCGATTTCCTGACCCCGTGATCCGCCCACTTCGGCCTCCCGAAGTGCTGGGATTACAGGCATTAGCCACCTCGCCCGGCCCCTCCTTCCCTTCTTATGATAGATGGTAACATTATCATAGTGAACACCTCCAATATCATGGTGAACAGGTGAATCGCCTCCAAGTAGCTATGTCCTGAGGAGACCCCTCTTGCATCACTGCTGGCCTTGACTGCGTGACTCGCTTTAGCCAATGAGCCATCGGCAAATAGGTTGCAAGCAGAGGCTTGGTAAGCCCTTTCTTACACGTGGCGCCTGCTCTCTTGGAACATTGGTGTGAGGAAGCCCACTCAAGCCTAGAGGATGAGAGGCCTTGTGGAGAACTGACAGGCCCCAGTAGACAGCCAGTGCCAACTGACAGACTGTCACGAGGCCATCTTGTGACCACAGGAGACCAGAATATGCCACCCCAAAATATGCCTCCTTGGCATAAGGATTGAGTGAGAAACAGGAGACACAGGACAAGCTCTGAAAACAGAGTAGAAGTTACCCCCCCCCCCTTTTTTTTTTTTTTTGAGATGGAGTCTTGCTCTGTCACCCGGGCTGGAGTGCAGTGGCGCAATCTCAGCTCACTGCAACCTCCGCCTCCCGAGTTCAAGCGATTCTTCTGTCTCAGCCTCCTGAGTAGCTGGGATTACAGGCGCCCGCCACCACGCCCGGCTAATTTTTGTATTTTTAGTAGAGACGGGGTTTCACCATGTTGGTCTGGCTGGTCTCGAATTCCTGACCTCATGATCCACCAGCCTCGGTCTCCCAAAGTGCTGAGATTATAGGCATGAGCCACCGCGCCCTGCTGAAGTTACCTTTTTGTAAGAGAATTTTACACGTAAGGAAATCTCCATTTATAAGGATGTTTCCCTCTGCACCAGAAAGAGGAGGATTAAATCAATAAAGATGCCCATCAATGGAGAAGGCGCTGACTTTTAAATTTGCATGATGAAATTTACCATTGCTTACTGTGCTTTTCCTGCTCAACCTCTCCATAACTTGCCTCCGTCAATTTCCTTTGAGATGAAGATGGTGTTAAAGCCTGAGTTCTAAGCCATCTCTCTGAGAGTCATTCATTTTTCCCTGGGTATCTTCTGGGTGTGGGTATGTATACATGTTAATAAATGTCAGCTCTTCTGTTGTTAATCCATCTTTCATTATGCTGGGGAGGGCACCTAAAAATTATGAAGGGTATAGGAAAAAAATGTCTTTCCTCCCCTATAGAATTGTCAGAGGACTCCAGCCCTAGCAGTGATCCCATGTGAGAAGCCGGTCTTTATTGCTGAGCCTATTTAAAATATTTTCAAAAAGATGACACTATGATTTGGCAGTGAAATGAAAAGGGCACAGAAAACAAATCAGCAGGGCCAAAATTTGAATTTAGTAGAGCAAATATTTGTTTTTAGAGAAATGACCACAAATCCATGTTTTCTTGCATATTTGTTGTGAAGAAATGACCAATTTATTTCATTTATATCAATCTTGTGTGTAAATAAAAAGTAAAGTATGATTTTTAAAAAATGTGTCTAAATGAAGCAAGAGCAGGGGTTGACCAGATAAATATTTCTGACTCTGAAGGCCATCCTGTAGAAGCAGCCAAAAAGGAAACCAGTGAGCTTGGCTGCCTCCCAATTAAACTTTATTTACAAGAACAGGTGGCAGGTTGGATTTGGACCATGAGCTATAGTTTGCAAATCCTTGGTCTAAAAAAACCCTTCAAATTTATTTATTTATTTATTTATTTATTTATTTATTTATTTATTGAGATGGAGTCCTGCTCTGTCACCAGGCTGGAGTGCAGTAGTGCGATCTCAGCTCAGTGCAACCTCTGACTCCCTGGTTCAAGTGATTCTCCTGCCTCAGCCTCCCGAGTAGCTGGGATTACAGGCACGTGCCACCATGTCCAGCTAATTTTTGTATTTTTAGTAGAAACGAGGTTTACTATGGTGGCCAGGATGGTCTTGATCTCCTGACCTCGTGATCCACCCGCCTCGGCCTCCCAAAGTGCTGGGATTACAGGCGTGAGTCACCGCGCCTGCCAGTTTTGCTTCTTGATGAAGTAAAGTTATAGGAAGAGATGTGGGCACACAGACACATCCACATTCTGCAGTGTGGCCCATCCCAGTGTTCTAAATGCAAAGCTGGCTTAGGGGGTGTGCCATCAATGTTCTCTCCTAGAAAACAGGCAGCTGTTATGTTTCAGAGCATGGTTTCCCAAACTGCGATCTATGAAACACGAGAGTTAAGAGAAAGACATGAACGAGATGAACTACTAAAAATAGGGGTGGTTGTTCTATGTTCAAATAAGTTCAAAAAAGATTGCATGTTGCTCCCTGTATCACCAGATGAATGGCTCTGAAATTTCTGCATTATTTTCTCAGCATTTTCCAAATGGATTGGGCCATATCTTTTCTCATCACATCCTTGCAGAGTCTGGTGTTACAAAGAGTGTGATGTTCTAACTTCATGTACTGCAGGTGTGTCCTACAGATGGGGGCTGTTTTCCCAACTATTTAACCGATAGTCTGCAGTAAGAAAATGAAGAAATTGGGCAGATTGGGGAACTTTTATAACAATCTGACATTACTGCAACATCCAGGCAGCATTTTGGTTTTTTTAAAATTAATCCTTTTCATTATATTTTATAATAATGTTACTGTACAACTGATTGGAAAGAAAAAACTTGCTCTTCACATATGGGTAAGAAGCACTTTTTAAAAAAGCAATGGCTTAAAGACATTTCTCATAGACTTTTTTTTTTTTTGGAGACAGAGTCTCGCTCCGTTGGCCAGGCTGGAGTGCAGTGGCATGATCTTGGCTCACTGTAACCTCTGCCTCCCAGGTTCAAGCGATTCTCCTGCCTCAGCCTCCCGAGTGGCTGGGATTACAGACATATGCCACTATGCCCAGCTAATTTTTGTATTTTTAGTAGAGATGAGGTTTTACCATGTTGGCCAGGCTGGTCTCAAACTCCCAACCTCAGATGGTTCGCCCTCCTCAGCCTCCCAAAGTGCTGGCATTACAGGCGTGAGCCACTATACCTGGCCCTGTTCTCATAGACATTTGAATCTCATGGATTAGAAATATTAAGAAGATTAACAAATATATAATGGCCAACTTTTTGGTTTTTCCATTTAATTAAGTGACTTCCATCATCTATTTCTATCATTTCATTTCTAAATATGGTATTTTAACATACAGACAAAAGAGGAAGGACTTCATTTCAAACAAAGGACAGTCCTTTAAACTTCGGAAACATGGCTTTATGAAAAACTTGCTACATCGTCCCTTTTTCTCATTTTGCCGAAGTTCAGTGAGGATTTTATCACGCAGTAGCATTCTTCATAGACTGGGCTGTGAAAATGACTGACTAAGAAAAATGAGTTCTCAGCTTCTAGGTCCAAAAGGAAGAGAGAGGGGAAGCGAGGAGGGGCTTTCCCATAGACTCTTTCTCTGAAGGCACCGAGGGCAAAACCAGAGGAAATCTCTCTTGTGGTTCACAAACAGGAGGTTATTTTCACGCCCGTCTATACATTAAGATGACGCATGAACTGAGAAGTACACCAAAGAATTTTGTAACTTGTTCCACATCAAGCAAATATGTTTGTGTGTGTGTGTGTGTGAGCAGGGAAGGCTAGTCAAATGCTACCATGTATAGTGTGTTCCTAGGACTTGGAGGGCTTTCTGCGTTCCATCTAGCTATTACTGCAGGAGGCAGAGACTTAAGGGAGGCAGGTTGCGGTGACAAAGCCCTGGGCTCCGAGTCAGATGGCCACGTTCTGTTCCTGGTCCTGCCTCTCACTAGCACCTCACGGGCTTGTCATTTTCTTTCTCAGAGCCTCAGTTTCCCTATCTATAAAATGAGGAGGATTCTAAGGCTCTAAATCTATAAGATGAAATAATTACTGCAAATCTACTGGCATGTATTCAGAGCTATTAATTCTTGATCATTTGCTTTATGACCCAGGCGCAATCATTTCCGTGATCATTCCAGACAGATACTGTCATTCTTTCATTCCCTCTCTTTATTCTAATGGTGAAAATGGAAGTTCCAATGGAGAGAGAAAAAAAAAAGGAGAAAGTGTTACCGTGGCAGCCTTTGTGAATATTTTCCTGAAAAATCCACTTCACAGCTCTAAGACTCCTAACTGAGATTTCTTGGTTTGTGGATCCAGGGGCATCTACAGGGTTCATGAGGAGAGAGACAGAAGTGGTTGGAATCAGTCGGGGAATTGTGGAGGGTCCCTAAACAAGCCGAGTTCTTCCTGCAGGACATGGGAATTTGTGTATTTGTTCTCTTTGCTGTTGGCTCTTCCATGGACTGTTTTTCTTTAGACACCAACGAACCAACAAAACAAACCATTAGGGAACCACCTATTCCTTGATCCACCTCTGTGAATCTTTTACTTAATGAGTCATGGAAATCGAATGCATTAAAGACTTAATTTTTAGAATGTAATATATTAGCCTTTAAATATGATTTAATGTCTATAATAAGGATTCAAACACACAAACTACTTAGCTGAATTTCTAAAACACATTACAGGAAAATTATTTCCCTATGACAGGTGTTCTCAAAGGCTAGCATACCTCAGAATCACCTAGGCTTGAGAACGCAGATGGCTACCCCTCCCTGCAGAGTTTCTGATTCTGCGGGTCTGGGGAGGGGCCAGATAATTTCATTTCCAAGTTCCCAGTGCTGACTGCTCTAGGAACCATACTCTGAGAACTGCAGAGGTACAAGAAACTATACCTTTTGATGATGATCTTAGAATGCACGTTTTGGGCTGAGCAGGGTGGCTCACACCTGTAATCCCAGTATTTTGGGAGACCTAGGTGGGAGGATCATTTGAGCCTAGGAGTAGGAGATCAGCCTGGGCAATATAGCAAGATCCCATCTCTATTTTTATTTTATTTTATTTTATTTTTTAAGACAGAGTCTCACTCTGTCGCCCAGTCTGGAGTGCAGTGATGCAATCTCAGCTCACTGCAACCTCCACCTCCCAGGTTCAAGCAATTCTGTCTCAGCCCTTGAGTAGCTGGGATTATAGGCGTGTACTCTGCAGGGAGGGGTAGCCAATAATTTTCCTGTAATGTGTTTTAGAAATTCAGCTGAGTGGTTTGTGTGTTTGAATTCTTATTATGGATATTAAATCATATTTTAAGGCTAATACGTTACATTCTAAAAATTGTGTCTTTAATGCATTCAATTTCCATGCCTCATTAAGTAAAAGATTCATGGAGGTGGATCAAGGAATAAGTGGTTCCCCAGTGGTTTGTTTTGGTGTTCGCTGGTGTTCAATAACAGCCTGGCCAACATGGAGAAACCCCGTCTCCACTAAATACAAAAAATTAGCTGGGCGTGGTGGCGCATGCGTATAATCCCAGCTACCTGGGAGGCTGAGGCAGGAGAATCACTTAAGCCTGGGAGGTGGAGGTTGCAGTGAGCCCAGATTGTGCCATTGCGCTCCAGCCTGGGCAACAGGAGCAAAACTCCGTCTCAAAAAAAAAAAGCATGTTTTATACTTATTTTGTAGAGGAAGAGAAGAGATCCCAACATTCTTCCACTTCTTCCCAAAACATAGGTGGAGTTGAGGAGATTGGTCCTATAGGGTTTTCTTTTAATTATAATTCACCCTTCGATAGTGTGGATTTGAATTGAGTGGATCCACTTATACCGGAAATTTTTTCAACCAAAGGTCGATGGAAAATACAGTATTTGTGGGATGTGAAATCCACATATAGGAAGGGCTGACTTTTCCTATGCTGAGTTCCTTAGGGAAGGACTTGAGTGTGCATGGATTTTGGTATATGTGGGGGTCCTGGAAACAATCCCCCCATATACTGAAGGACGACTGTATAGTTTCACATAAATACTAAATCTGCCACTTCACCGTCTCCTTCTTCTTTCCTCGAGTTTCCCTTGGTGGCAACTGTGAAATAGTCTGGACTAGCATCCAACTCCTCCTCATCCCACAATTTTTTATAAAGACAGTCCTCTCTTATTGATTTGTAATTGGCCACTTTATATAAAAAGGTGATTAAACCTTTATCAGTTACATAAGCTGAACATTTTTTCCCCACCTTGACTTTTATCTTGAACATTTCTTGTTTAAATTGTTTAGATGTATTTTATGTTAGTGGGATCTTTTCTTATTATATTTCTTGGAGATTATTATAAGAAAGCTGTTGAATGTCTTATGTTTTAGTTCCTTCCTATCTTTTTAGGAAGTCACAGAAGGATGGGAAGAAATAAGAAGTCACTGGGGTCCCAGGTGACTCAGAGATTGCCCAGACCTCTGACCAGCTCTCAGACAACACTTTGGTCAGTCTCGGACTCTGCTAAAAATGTGAGTATTCAGCAGACTGTGTGCAAAGGAGCCCCAGACCTTGAAGAAGAGAGGGAATTTGTATCATAATATTCTGGTGTCTTGCCATAATTACAACTAGAAGGAAGGCTGATTGGAGGGCATCTTTGTACTTCTTTGCACTATCAGTGAATGGATTCTGTCTAGAATAGATAGCCCACAGATTTAGGGAAAATGCAGTTCGTTTTTATAGGATTCTCTTACAGCTTCTGGCCAACATTTTCAGAATGGAGGAGCCTAGATAGATCACATAATCTGGTCTTTGTAGCTAACCACACCGTGTCTCTTTTCCAGGCCACAGGTTATATGAGAGAGAGAGTGCTCTTAAGCATGTGGTCCTGGCACCTCTTCCCTCAACAGGTGCATGCAGAGTCAGGGTCCATTAGCAAACAAGTGCCCATAACAATGAAGACAAAAAGCCTAGGGTATGATTTTAAGAAAGATGGCCCAAGAGGAATGGGAGGTTCTAAAGAACAAGAATCAAACAACATCGAGACCAATGACTCCAAAAAGAAATTAGACACAGGGGCTATTTGATCATCTCTGTTCCAAAATGGTAGAGACAGATGGCATAAAAATAAAAATAAATAGCATGAACCCATGTAAGTATTGGGAGCAAATTATGGTCCTAAATGAACTAAGGCTTGTGGAAATTGAAAGGAAAACAGAAAGGGCGCTTCAGTTATGTTTAATAGAAAGAAAGGAATAGATAAAGTTTAAAAAGCCAGTGACTCCAAAATAGCCAAACAATCTTTAAAAAGGACAAAAATGAAGAACTCACACTTACTGATCTTAAAACCTACCATAAAGCTACAGTAATCAAGACAATGTGGTATTGACATAACAGTACCAATGACATAGATCAAGCCTGTCCAACCCGTGGCCCATGGTGACTTTGAATGCAGCCCAACACAAATTTGTAAACTTTCTTAAAACATCATGAGTTTTTTTGCAAATTTTTTTTTTTTTTTTTAGCTCATCAGCTATCATTAGTGTTAGTGTATTTTCTGTGTGGCCCAAGACAATTCTTCTTCCAATGTGGCCCAGGAAGCCAAAAGATTAGACACCCCGATATAGATAACTATGGTCAATTGATTTTCAACAAGGTTTCCATGACAATTTGATGCAGGAAAGAATAGTCTTTTCAACAAATAACACAGAAATAATGGAATATCCACATAAAAAAGAATGAATTGGGATCTCTACCTCGTATCTTTAACAAAAATTAAGTCAAAATGGATCAAAGATCTAAATACGAGAGCTAACAGTAAAACTTACAGAAGAAAACATAGGAGTCAATAAATCTTCATGACCTTGGGTTAAGCAATAGTTTCTTAGATAGGACACCAAAAATGCAAGTGACAAAATAAAAGATTTGACTTCATCAAAATTAACAACTGTTGTGCTTCAAAAGATACAATTAAGAAAAGACAAACCAGGTGCGGTGACTCATGACTGTAATCCCAGCACTTTGGGAGGCTGAGGTGGGCGGATTACTTGAGGTCAGGAGTTTGAGACCAGCCTGGCCAACATGGTGAAACTCTGTCTCTACCAAAAAATACAAAAATTAGCCCGGTGTTGGTGGTGCATGCCTATAGTCCCAGCTACTTGGGAGGTTGAGGTAGGAGAATTGCTTGAACCCGGGAGGCAGAGGTTGCAATGAGCCAAGAACGTGCCACTGCACTCCAGCCTGGGCAACAGAGCAAGACTCTGCCTCAAAAAAAATAAAAAATAAGGCTGGGTACAGTGGTTCATGCCTGTAATCCCAGAATTTTGGGAGGCTGAGATGGGTGAATCACCTGAGGTCAGGAGTTTGAGACCAGTCTGGCCAACATGGTGAAACCCCATCTCTACTAAAAATACACAAAATTAGCTGGGCGTGGTGGCCCGTGCCTGTAATGTCAGCTACTTGGGAGGCTGAGGCAAGAGAATTGCTTGAACCCAGGAGGCAGAGGTTGCAGTGAGCCGAGATCGTGCCGCTGTACTCCAGCCTGGGACACAGAGCGAGACTCTGTCTCCAAAAAAAAAAAAATGAAAAGAAGACAACCCACAGAATGAAAGAAAGTATTTGCATATCATAGTATCATGTATCTAATAAGGGGCTTGTATCCAGAATATATAAAGAACTCTTACAATTCAATAATGAGACAAGTAACCCGATTGAAAAGTGGGCAAAGCATTTCTGCTGAGTAGATACACAAATGGCAAATAAACGCATAAATAGATAGATGTTTGACATAGTTAGTTATCAGGGAAATTTAAATCAAAGCCACAGTGAGATACCAATTTACATCCACTAGGATGGCTAGAATTAAAAAGTTAGATAATAACAAGTGCTGACAGGGATGTAGAGAAATTGAAATCCTCGTGCATTGCTGGTTGGAATGTAAAATGGTACAGCCCCTTTGGAAAACAGTCTGGCAGTTCCTCAGTTAAGCAAGAACATGACCCAGAAATTCTGTTCCTAGTTGTATACCTAAAAGAAATGAAAGCAAATGTCCACACAAACATTTTTACATGAATGTTTATAGTAGCATTATTCATACTAGCTTAAAAGTGGAAACAATTCAAATGTCTATCAACTATTGAATGGACAAACAAAACGTGATATACAATGAAATATTATTTAGCCATTAAAAATGTAGTACTGATAGGCCAGGCGCGGTGGCTCACGCCTGTAATCCCAGCACTTTGGGAGGCTGAGGCAGGCGGATCACAAGGTCAGGAGATCGAGATCATCTTGGCTAACACGGTGAAACCCCATCTCTACTAAAAATACAAAAATTAGCCAGGCGTGGTGGCAGGCGCCTGTAGTCCCAGCTACTCAGGAGGCTGAGGCAGGAGAATGGCGTGAACCCGGGAAGCGGAGCTTGCAGTGAGCAGAGATCGCGCCACTGCACTCCAGCTTGGGGGACAGAGCGAGACTCCGTCTCAAAAAAAAAAAAAAAAGTAGTACTGATACATGTTACAACATGGATGTACCTTGAAAATATTATGCTAAGTGAAAGAAGCCAGTTTTTAAAGGTCACATATTATATAATCCTATTTATATGAAAATTCAGAATAGAGAACTCTCTGGAACAGAAATTAATTTAGTGCTTATTTAGGGCTGGGTGGTAGGGATGGGAATGGGGAAAGAGGAGAGGGGAGAGAAGAATAGAATGATAGCTAAGGGGCACGAGTTTCTTTTTCAGGTGATGAAAATGTTCTAAACACATTGTGCTGGTTGCCCTTATGTGTGAATATGCCAGACACCACTGAACTGAGCACTCCAAACAGTATTCACCTTTTCCATTTTCACCTTTACCTCATCTTGTCAAAGGGTGGTCAGTAGTCAACTAATATACCTTTTTTTTTTTTGTTTTTTTTGAGACGGAGTTTCGTCTTGTCACCCAGGCTGGAATGCAGTGGCACAATCTCGGCTCAGTGCAACCTCTGCCTCCCGGGTTCCAGTGATTCTCCTGCCTCAGCCTCCTGAGTAGCTGGAATTACAGGTGCCTGCCACCATGCCCAGCTAATTTGTGTATTTTTTAGTAGAGATGTGTTTTTGCCATGTTGGCCAGGCTGGTCTTGAACTCCTCACCTCAGGTGATCCGCCCTCCTCGGCCTCCCAAAGTGCTGGGATTACAGACATGAGCCACTATGCCCAGCCTAGTATACCTTGAGGATCCTTTTTGGCAGCAAAGCGATCCACATATTCCTCTTTTCTTATGGTGATATAATGTGGAACTGAATAGACTAATTTTTATGGCAACTGAGGAGTCTTCACTATTTACTATTACTATTACTAACAGTAATAGTCTTTACTATTTAGTAACTAATTATTATTTAGTAACTAATTACTAAATAGTAAAGGAAAGTATAATTTCGTTTTCAAAAATTAAAATCAATGCATTACTAGGGTTTATATTCAATATCCCATTGCTGAGTCTGGCTTCTTATTAAACTTGCCAATCTCATGAAGCTCCTACTGCATACACACATGAATGGATCTCATTGGAACTCCATAAGGGCACTTTTTTATCAGTGTGATGCTGAGTTGGTTTTGTTTTCAATTGCTTTTCTTGTTTTTAAATCATTATTATTAGTCTTACAATTTAATTTGTTATAGCCTGCTTTGCTAACGCTAACCCCAGACTGCAGAGGTGTATGTTTGGCTTAACAATATTTGGGTCTGTAATGTTTCAATGTAAGGCATCTATCACTTAAGGTAAAGCACATATTTTCCTAAAACTTACTTGTACAGTGCCACTTCATTGGTGATATGTGATGCCTGAATCTGCTATTTGAATAACTTGCATCACACTCTTAGAGTAACACTATTTCTGTATTAACGATTTATGTGCAGGTTTATTGTGTATCAGGGCAGGACTAGGGTCAAGTGATGAGGCATTCACTCTCAGGGTTATGTGAGTGCTGACCCTGAACGTGAACACCTTCTTGAGTTGTATACCCCAGGTGTTTCACATGTCTCACCCTAATCTTGACCCTGTGGTCCCTTACAAAATCCCTACACATAAGGCCATAAAAAAATAAGTCATTCAAGGCTGGGTGTGGTGGCTCACGTCTGTCATCCCAGCACTTTGGGAGGCCGAGGTGGATGGATCACCTGAGGCCAGGAGTTCGAGACCAGCCTAGCCAACATGGTAAAACCACATCTCTACTAGAAAATACTAAAAATACAAAAAAAAAAATTAGCCTGGCGTGGTGGCGGGCACCTGTAATCCCAGCTACTCTGGAGGCTAAGGCAGGAGAATTGCTTGAACCTGGGAGACAGAGGTTTCAGTGAGCCGAGATCGCACCACTGCACTCCAGCCTGGGCAACAGAGTGAGGCCATCTCAAAAAACAAACAAACAAACAAAAACAAAAGTCATTCATGAATGTTGGTAACATGAGTTTCAGAATCCATTTCTCAAATTCTTTGTTGACTAATTTGGGAATAAGAAGTAAAGTTGGGCCGAGTCTTATCACATTGTTCCTTAAAAACAGAAACTTTCCTGCCGTGGTCAGAGGAAGATGGGATGAGGGAAGAACAGTCAGAGAGATGCGATGTTGTTGGGTTTGAAGATGGAGAAAGATGACCAGGTGCCAAAGTATGTGGGCAGCCTCTAGAAGCTAGAAAAGATGAGGAAACATGCTCCCTAGACCCTCCAGTTAGGACTGCAGCCCTGCCAATGCCTTGAATTTAGTCCAGTGAGACCCACGTCAGACTTCTGACCCATAGAACGGTAAGATCATAAATTTGTGTTAAAACAGCCACTGAGGCTGGGTGCCGTGGCTCACGCCTGTAATCCTAGCACTTTCAGAGGCCGAGGCGGGCAGATCACCTGAGGTCAGGAGTTCGAGGTCAGCCTGGCCGATGCGGTGAAACTTCGTCTCTACTAAAAAAAGTACAAAAATTAGCCGAGTGTGGTGGTGTGCACCTGTAATCCCAGCTACTCTGGAGGCTAAGGCAGGAGAATGGCTTGAACCCAGGAGGCGGAAGTTTCAGTGAGCCAAGATCGCGCCATCGCACTCCAGCCTGGGTGACAAGAGCGAGACTCCATCTCAAAAACAAACAAACAAACAATCAAAACCAGCCACCGAATTTTTGGTAATCTATTACAACAGCCATATGAAACTAATACACATCCTGAGATAAATGAACATTTTAGGTATTGTTTTTTGGTTTTTATATACTGTAGCTTGGTGGGCTAGAGGGTGGGGATCTGGCTTTACTATTTGAGGTGCAAATAGCAGTTCCAGAATCCCCACTTGTTCTGATGAGCAGAACAAGCTGCCTTCAGGTGGAAAGGCCCCAGGGCCTCCCTTGGTGCTGCAGTGCCAGCTGCGATGCTACAGTTGTTGCCACCAAAGCTGTTAACTGGATATTGTTGCTGAAACTCAAGGCCACGTGGACAGATGTGTCTATTCTGGCAGGAGCCAGAGTTCACTGCCAATATCCAAGGCCCAGTACCTCTATTTGAATGAAAGAGGACCTATCAAAAAAATTTAGAAAACCGTTTTCAAGAGCTAAAGAAAAATTTGAATCTTCTGATTAAAAGTGCCTTTTTTTTTTTAACTTGAGGTGGAGTCTTTCTATGTTGCCCAGGCTGGTCTTGAACTTCTGGGCTCAAATTATCCACCCACCTCAGCCTCCTGAGCAGCTGGTATTATAGGCATGTGCCATTGAGCTTGTCTTTTAAAGTAACTATTGAGTGTCAGACAGTTAATTTTTAAAAGAAATCCACACATTAGATACTTTCTGATAAAATTTCAAGTCTTCAAAGTCAAAGAAAAAAAAATCCTAAAAGATTATATAGCAAATAGATTATCTAGAAAGGAAAAAGATCTAATTAGTAACAGAGTCCTCATTAGTGACATTTGATACAAAAAGTGATCAGAGCAAAGTTCCAAGGGAGATTATCTTAAATTCAGAATTATGTACCCAACAAATCTATCATTCAAGAGTGAAAACAAATATAAGAGCTCAAATAGTGTATACTACTTTCAGAACATTTATTAATAATTACCCAAATATGTACTCTAATTTTATAAAATATTAATTTAAGAAAGAGATAAATGGAATATAAGAAAACATAGCAAGCAGAGAAATAAGTTAAACTCATAGTTAAGTGTAAGTAGTTGTTGATAACATTATTTTGGTGCTCATGGTAATTGTGAAGAAATTGCCTAAGAACTGCCTAAAAAGTAGAGGCAAAGATTTGATAAATCTGGTGTATCCTCTCCTCCTGTCCTAATTTCTACTTTTGACAGAAAAGGTCTTTCTCTTTCAACTCTTATAGCTTTTTTCTTTTTCTTGCCTTATCGAGCTGGCTACAGTTTCCTTTAAAATGTTGAATATGAAAGTGGTAATGTCATCCTTATTACTTTAAATAAAATACTTCTGAGATTTCATCTTTAAGAATAACATGTTTGGGCCAGGCATGGTGGCTCATGCCTGTAATCCCAGCACTTTGGGAGGCCGAGATGGGCGGATCACGAGGTCAGGAGATTGAGACCATCCTGGCTAACACAGTGAAACCCCATCTCTACTAAAAATACAAAAAAAAAAGAAAAAAGAAAAAAGAAATTAGGTGGGCGTGGTGGCAGGTGCCTGTAGTCCCAGCTACTCAGGAGGCTGAGGCAGGAGAACGGCGTGAACCCGGGAGGCGGGACTTGCAGTGAGCCAACCAAGATCACGCCACTGCACTCCAGCCTTGGCAACAGGGCAAGACTCCGTCTCAAAAAGAAAAAGAATAACATGTTTGCAGTAGATTTTTGGTTGGGAGTTATACATCCAACTTATCCGTGAGTTTGCTCATTTAGCCTCTTTGCCTTTGCTTCTTTGGAACCAAACCAGGTCCATAGACATTCTTTCTGTCAGTTCAGGCATTCTGATCGCACTGCTATAAAAATAAGCCAGGACTTGTGCTTTTGTTCCTCTAAGAGTGTCCTCTCACCTTGGAGAAGTCGACTTTGCTGGCTCTTTCTGAGATTTGTGGAAATCAATATCCCCTGCCTGCTTCTTCCCACATGCAACACTGTTTGATCTTTGCTGCTTTGGAAGCTCCTTCACATACTTTGTGGTTTACAGTTTCTATTTCTTCTAGTTTCAATAAAGTTAGAGTTTCTACTTCTCATTCTTCTTATGGCTTTTTGATATTATCCACTGAAGGGGAGTGCTAACTTTTTATTGACATCATCCAGTAAAAATCACAGCCGAATTCTTATCAGAACCTTACAAGCTAAACCTAGTACTAATTGGCAAGTGCAAGGACCAAAAATAGCCAAGAACATTTTGAGCATAATAACTGAAATGATGCTATTGCTATTAAAAAAATAGACTAATGGAAAATAATAGCTTAGAAACTGACCCAAGGAACTTGGACTGAGAAGGAAATAGCACTAAAAATCAGCACTATTCAATAAATGGTACTGGAAACATTAGCTATCCAAATGGATAAAGATAATATTAGATGTATTGCTTATGCCGCTCCCCACAAATAATTTTCAGATATGTTAAAATGGTAAATCAAAACCAGAAAAACAATTAATAGAAAATATGGGAGAATATTTTTATGGTCTCAGGGTAGGGAAGGATTTCTTAGAGAAGGCTTAAAATGTATAGACCGTTATAGTACCAGGATGGCTGGAGTAACAAGGGAGGAGGTGCAAGCTGGGTGTGGTGGCTCATGCCTATAATCCCAGCACTTTGGGAGGCCAAGGCAGGAGGATTGCTTGAGGCCAGGAGTTCAAGACCACCCTGAGCTACATAGGGAGAACCTGTCTTTACAAAAAATAAAAATAAAATTAGCCAAGTGTGGTGGCACACACCTGTGGTCTTAGCTACTCAGGAGGCTGAGGCAGGAGAATTGCTTTAGCCCAGGAGGTTGAGGCAGCAGTGAGCTGTGATTGCGCCACTGCACTCCAGCCTGAGCAACAGAGTAAGAAGGTGTCCACCATGCTGCCCCACAAAGAAAGAAAGAAAGGAAGGCAGGCAGGCAGGCAGGAAGGAAGGAAGGACAGACAGAAGGAAGGAAGGAAGGAAAGAGAAAGAAAAAAAAAGAAAGAGAAAGAAAGAAAGAAAAAGAGAGAGAAAGAAAGAAAAAGAGAGAGAGAAAAGAAGGTGAGAGGCCCAAGGTGAGGAGGGAGGAACAAGAGTTGGGTAGACCCTGTGGCAACCTGCAGGCTTTAATGAGTTAAAGACTTTTTGGCAAAGTGGCAAAAGTGCTTGAAGCAGGAAAGTAATCCTATCAAATTTGTGTTTTTAAATATTAGACTGGCTGCAATGGGTTGCAAGGGGACGGGGAGATATTAGGAGACCAATCAGGAAGCAGTTGCAATAGAGCAAATGATGAAGATGGCATGGATTGGAATGATTGCAGAGTGAATGGTAAGAATAGAATGGTTACAAGAAATAGACAGGATGTAGACTCAGCAGAACCTGGTGCTTGTTTGGATTTGTGGAGTGAGGGAGGAGTTGGGGTCATCTTGGGATATGCTGATTTTAAGGACCCAGTGAGACACCCAAGAGGAGAGGTTGAGAAACCAGTTGAGCATGTGCGTTTCGAACTTTAAAAATGTATTTGAGCTCCAGGTTTAAATTTGGAATTATCATGTGTAGATAGTAATTAAGGTTGTAAGGGTGACGAGAACACCTAGAACAAGGCATAAACTCTGGCCCTTGGGCTGGCCATATGTTTCTGTATAGCCCGCAAGCTAAGAATTGTCTTTATATGTTTGAATGGTTACGGGAAAAAAATCAAAAGAATAATATTTTCTGACATGCGTTAATTATATGAAGTTTGAGAAGAGAGGAGAAAGTCTGAAGTAGTCGTTGCTGGTAGTGGAAATGTGTGACGATCAGATCATCATAGCAACTGCCTGGCTGGAATTGAGGATCCAGTTGAAGCAGTAGGTTGAGAACATACAGAGATAATGTTCTGCTTGGTTGTGCAATTTCTGCGCTAATGCTCAGCTGTCTAAACGTAGAGATAATGGATATCTGAATTTGTTATAGGACTGTGGATTTCCAGATGGGTACAACCAAAAGACAAAGGGGCAAAAAGAATGTTTGCAAAAAGACAGATTGACAGTAGGTATTATGAATGGCAAAGAAAAATAAGCTAGGAAGAGATGAATGGAGAAGGGGAAGGTCAAGGGAGTAAAATGTGTAAAAAAGGGGAAGTGATGGTGTTTAGTTATGCAAGCTGCAAGGGGATGAAGGAAGTGGTTAGATTAAATCAGACTGGGGCAATGGGCAGGTTTGGGGGTGTTTGTAAAAGTTTATTTTAACATGATAACGTCCTTACACTAGAAAAGAAATGTCAGATTGTTTTAGAAATGGAAAAATCGTCTATGCCATCATGAGATAGGGGAGAAGTACTTGTTTCATATTAAATAGTTTGGTTTGAATCTTCATTTCACTACTTGTTAGCTGTGTGGCAATGTCTGCTTCTGTAAAAGGAAAAATCAACACAGGACCTGTATCATGGGAATGTCAGGATGAATAACTGAGACAGTCTTTAGAAAGCACTTAGCACAGTGCCTGGCACATACTAAGAATTCAATAAATGTTAATTATTGATGTTGCTGATGTATTACAGGTTGAATCTGTAATGCTTGGCACCAGAAGTGTTTCATATTTTGGATTTTTTCAGATATTGGAATATTTGCATTGTGCTTACTGGATGAGCATCCCAAATCCAAAATCTGAAGTCCTAAATGTTCCAGTGAGTATTTCCTTTGAACATCATGTTAGTGCTCAAAAAATTTCAGATTTTGGAGCATTTTGGATTTCAGAATTTTGGATTTGGGGTGCTCAACCTATACATGGAACCGAATCATTATCTCAAGTTTTTTTGTGTGTGTGTGAGATGGAGGAGTCACTCTATCACCCAGGCTGGCACGCAGGGGCACGATCTTAGCTCACTGCAACCTCTGCCTCCCAGGCTCAAGCCATCCCCCTCTCTCAGCCTCCTGAGTAGCCTAGGGACTACAGGCACACACCTCCATGCCCAGCTAAGCAAGTCCTTTAATCTAACAACAATCGTGGGCCTCAAAAGTGACTCTTTTGTACATATCCAGCTGATCCTGAGTAACTCTGATTTCTCTTGGAATATAAACATGAATTCTATGGGAGTCACATGGATCTTGTAGTTAATAGTTACTACAAACACGGCCCCAAAGCCTTGTGACCAGCGTTGCTGTAGTCTGTGAAATATTGGATTGTAAATTTTTTCTTACAAGATTGCTAGCACAAAACTGAATTTAATATTTTAAACATTTAAATATAATTTAATATACTGACAAAACGAGCTGGAAAAGATACTACTTATTCATATTGTTATTCAAATGTTTACTGTTGCCTGTAAGGGAGTACTACATACAGTACTCAACAGTGAACATTTAATTCGACCGTGTATAAGGAATTAAGGGCACTGAATATGACTGAGCCTTTTCTAAAAGGATTCCCAAACTGGATATGAAGAGAAATAGACATTAGATAAAATGTCAGAAATCCAATCACAGAGGAGAAATAAAAGTGATAAGGGAGTAGAGGGGAAGAAGGATTAATTCTGCCTGGGACAGTCAGATAAATGAATCTCTGTCCTTAGATCTGTTTATTTTAAGCCTACTCAAATATCTCAATGGCTCCTTCCTAGCCAGGGCAGTGTGGCATGAATGGAAAGGAAGGATCGGATCCAATAAATCCTCCTGGTTTAGAAACTAAAAGGAATGTGGGAGTCATTGAAAAGGGAAGAATGCAGGATGTTTCAGAAGATTCTGCCTTGAATGAAGACAGATGAATAGAGGAGGGTGAGAAGGTTGAGAGCTAGCGAGTGAATTTTCCTGTTCAGGGGGCAGTTGAAAGAAATGCCTCTGGGCTGGGTGTGGCTCATTCCTGTAATCCCAACACTTTGGGAGGCTGAGGGCAGGTGGATCACTTGAGGTCCAGAGTTCAAGACCGGCCTGGGAAACATAGTGAGACCCCATCTTTACAAAAGTAAAAAAATTAGCCAAGCATGGTGGTGTGCACCTGTAGCCCCAGCTAGTTGGGAGGCTGAAGTGGTAAGATCAGTTGTAACCCATCAGGGTGACACTGAAGGGCAGTGGTGAAAGAAAATTCTGAAGCTGGGTGCGGTGGCTCACGCCTGTAATCCCAGCACCCTGGGAAGCTGAGGCAGGCAGATCACTTGAGGCCAGGAGTTCGAGACCAGCCTGGCCAACATGGCAAAACTCAGTCTTTACTACAAATACAAAAATTAGCTGGGCGTGGTGGCACACGCTTGTGGTCCCAGCTACTCAGGAGGTTGAGGCACAAGAATCGCTTGAACCCAGGAGGCAGAGGTTGCAGTGAGCCAAGAACACAACACAACACTCCAGCCAAGGTGACAGAGTGAGACTCCATCTCAAAAAAAGAAAAAAGAAAAAAGAAAAAAGACAAAAAAGAAAATTCTCTAGTAGTCAGATCTTTGAGTAATTCATTGGTAGTCTGTCTACTTTGGAGAGACAGTTGGCCAGACATATGGCTCTATACTCATTACATGAGCAGTTGCATAGTTGGTCTCAAATGTTAGACTTAGAAAAAACAGGATCGAAAGATTGGTGAACAGGAAACCTGGGGAAGAAAAAGCACAAACGATGAAGATATTTGTGTCCCATGTGAATTCTCACCAGATAGCACACACTACAGAGGAAGACGAGAAAGCTTTTGACTATCAGTTGAAACAAATGACACACTCTGTGTATATCAGCCAGGCACTTTCCCCAGAAAACCCAGTGCTTCCTCAACGGGCCCGTGAACAAAGTGGCTATGGTGGCAGAGATGGAAGCTATGTATGAGCTTGATAGTATGGACTTTCCATTACCAAGGCTGACCGGGCCAGTGTCACTGCGTGCCTAATCTGCTGACAGCAGAGACCAACACTGAGCACTGAAATGGCAGTTTTCTAAGGGGATCAGTCAGCTATCAGGTGGCAGGTTCATTATGCTGACCTCATTCATCATCGAAGGAATAGAGATTTGCCTTCACTAGAATAGACACGCATTCTGAATATGGATCTGACTTCCCTACCCACAGTCGTCCTGCTAGCACCACTATCCACGGACTCACAAAATGACTTGTTTTTTGTTTTCTTTTCTTGAGACAGAGTCTCGCTCTGTCATCCAGGCTGGAGCACAGTGGTGAGATCTCAGCTCACTGCAACCTTCACCTCCCGGGTTCAAGCGATTCTCCTGCCTCAGCCTCCTGAGTAGCTGGGATTACAGGTGCCTGCCACCATGCCTGGCTAATTTTCATATTTTTAGTAGAGACAGGGTTTCACCATATTGGCCAGGCTAGGCTGGTCTCGACCTCCTGACCTCAGGTGATCTGCCTGCCTCAGCCTCCCAAAGTGCTGGGATTACAGGCCTGAGACACCGTGCCTGGCCTCACAAAATGACTTATTTGTGATCAAGTCACTCTGTACCATGATAAGAAAACTCATTCTGATCCTTCTTATCAAGGAAACTCATTTGATACAAAGAAAGCATGTCAGTTGACTCACGTCCATAGAATTAACAATTCTCCACACATATCTCATCAGCTGGAAGTGTCTGGCCTTGTTGAAATCCGTAATGGCTTACTGAAGGCTCAGTTCTAGAACGAGTTGGGAGACAACTCCCTAAAAGAATGGATCTTTCTCTTTCCAAAGTAGACTACCAAATATATGACTTGAAGTACTGCTTATTGGAGGATTTTCCTTCACCACTGTCCTTGGGTGCCACATATACTTTGTCTAAGGATACAGTACATGCTTTGAACCAGAGACCACACCTATGGTGCTATCTTCTCTATAGCTAGAACACAAGGGTCTGGGAATGAAGGACTGAAAGTAGGAGTGGCTCATAAAACCCATGCACAGAATTTTGCTTCCTATTCTTACAACTCTGGGCTCTGCTGATCTGAAGATCTTAGTTTCCAAGGAGGGAAGTGTGGTCACCAGGAGGCACAACAGTGGAGCCATCGAATGCAAAGATGATGTTGCCACTTGGCCATTCTGAAGTGCTCGCACCACTTAACCAACAGGGAGAAGAAATAAGTTTCACTCTACTGGCTGGAGTGATTGATCCAAATCTTCAAGAGGAAAATGCATACTGAGCGGAGGCAAGGTGGACTATGGAATTCTCTGGTGGGGGCATCTCTTAGTACTTCCATGCTTAATAGTAAAGGTTAATGGAAAACTACAGCAACCAGAAAGAGGCAAGGCTATTGAAGACTCATACACTTCAGGGAAGATAATTTGGGTCACCCCACCGGGTAAAGAAACTTGACCAGCTGAGGTCTGGCTGAGGCAAGGGAAATCTGGAATGGGAAGTGGAAGAAGAAAGTCATAGATATGATTTTATAATTGATCTTGTGGCCAATTATAAAAGTGAGGACTATAGTAGCTTTGCTTGTATATATTTATATATGCTAACCATTTCTAATTTTCCTTCTTCCCATTGTTATTTTATATACTGGTTATGGGAGGTTAACTCTATTATTTATTCTTTAGGTAACAGAATATTCTGTTGGACTGGACTACATTGGAGGAGTAATTCATTCATATAGCCAGCAATGGATAGAATGACTTTTGAGATTGAGTGTCTCCTAGTTTAAGAGAAAGTATGACAACTTTCCCACTTGCACAAAGGGTAGATGTGTCCCAGGTGGAAACAGAGTTGTTTTGTTGTTATATGGAAGTCCAAATTCCTGTAGGGATACAAATGGAAACAATAGCCAAAGGGGTGGACTGTGCCAGTTACTAACTTGTTGCCTTTCAGCTGTAAATGTATCCTCCTTTGTGATCATGGAGCTGGATCCTGTAAAAATCCTTTCAGCTGTAAATGTATCCTCCTTTGTGATCGGAGCTGGATCCTGAAATTCTTCTTTGCCAGCTCATAATTGTTGTTAGAAAGGCAGGAGAAGGGCCAGGCGTGGTGGCTCACGCCTGTAATCCCAGCACTTTGGGAGGCCGAGGCAGGCGGATCACCTGAGGTCAGGAGTTTGAGACCAGCCTGGCCAACATGGCAAAACCCTGTCTCTACTAAAAATACAAAAATTAGCTGGGCATGGTGGTGGGCACCTGTATCCCAGCTACTCGGGAGGCTGAGGCAGGAGAATCGCTTGAACTCGGGAGGTAGGGGTTGCAGTGAGTCTAGATCGCACCACCGCACTCTCCAGCCTGAGTGACAGAGCGAGACTCTGTCTCAAAACAACAACAACAACAACCCAGGGGAAGGATGCTGCAAGAGGAAGAGAAACAAAGTTCTAGTAGGCTTAACTTCCCTTTAATTAAGCATTGACAGAGCCAATAAACAGATTACAAAAAAGTTATAATACCTAAAACATACCAAATAAGGCATGTTAATTTATATGAATATATGTAGAATTTTATACCTTGAAAACCAAGAATACATGTTTTTTTCAAGTGTCCATAAAACATTTGCTAAAACTGATCATAGATGCAGCCACAGAGCAAACAACTTCCGCGAAGTAGAAATAATACGGATAACATTCTGTGATCAAATGGAATAAAAGAGAAAAATTAAATACTAATTTAAACACACACACACACACACACACACACACACACACACACACACCAGAAATTTTTTAAATGCCACCTGACACTTTAAAAAAACTTTTTTTTTTTTTTGGCTGGGTGCAGTGGGTCATGCCTATAATCCTAGCACTTTGGGAGGCTGAAGCAGGCAGATCACCTGACGCCAGGAGTTTGAGACCACCCTGGCCAATATGGTGAAACCCCATCTCTACCAAAAATACAAAAATTAGCCGAGCGTGGTGCCGGGTGCCTGTAATCCCAAGCTACTTGGGAGGCTGAGGCAGGAAATCGCTTGAACCTGGGAGGTGGAGGTTGCAGTGAGCTGAGATCGCACCATTGTACTCTAGCCTGGGCGATAGAGCAAGACTCTGTCTTAAAAAAACCAAAAACCAAAAAACAAAACAAAACAAAAAACACCTTTTTTTCTCACACAACTCTTTGGTCAAAGAGGAAGCTGAAATTAAAATTGTACAATATCTAGAAAATAGTGATGAAAAGCCTACTTAGAACTTATGAGAATCTCGTACCTAATGCAGTGACCAGAAGAAAATTACAGCTTTAAATAATTAATAAACAAGGAGGAATAAAAGAAAAAGAAACAAACATCTACCAGCAAATGTTAGAAAAAGAATACCAAAACAAAGTTCATAAAAGCAAAATGAAGAATTAATAATAACTGGAAATTAATACATTTGCAAAGAAAAAAATGGCAGAATGAATAAGTGAAATCTGAGTGTTGGGTCTTTGAATTGAAACAAACAGCAAGAAACTGTTAGCTGAGCTAATTTTTTAAAGAAAAAGAGAAAAATCACAGTTACACAAAATAAGAATTGATAAGTAGGAAATTAACGGTAGATATATAAAGAATTTAAAAGATTTATAAGAGATGCATATGTTCAACTCTGAAAATAAATGTGAAAATCTACATGAAATGAATAATTTTCCAGGGAAATATAATTCATCAAAAACCAACTCCAGAAGAGATGAAAACTCTAAGTAGACAATTGACTTGGAAAAAGTAGAGAAAGATGCTAAAGGCTCCCTTCCCATCCCCAACAAACAAGTATGCACTCACCAAACACACACCTAGAAAGTTTCTTATTACAGTTAAGAATAAGAGGATTACCATTATCAATACTATTATTCTGAAAGTAGTTGTTAACAAATTAGATAAACAAATGTACCTCACCTTTGGAAGTTAGGTTAATTTATCATTTATTTGCACATTATATAATTGAATACATGAAAAATCCAAGAGAATCAACTAGAAAACTGTTAAAAAGGATAAGACAGGCCGGTCTCACAGCTATAATCCCAGCAGTCTGGGAGGCCAAGGTGGGCGGATCACCTGAGGTCAGGAGTTTGAGATCAGCCTGACCAACATGGTAAAATCTCGTCTCTACTAAAAATACAAAAATTAACTGGGTGTGGTGGCGTGCACCTGTAATCACAACTACTTGGGAGGCTGAGGCAGGAGAATTGCTTGAACCTGGGAGGCGGAGGTTGCAGTGAGCCGAGATTGTGCCATTGCACTCCAGCCTGGGCAACAGAGCTAGACTCCGTCTCAAAAAAAGAAAAAAAAAAAAAAGGATAAGAGAATTTAGCAATATGGCTGAATTTAAAAATAATATACAAAAATCAATAAACAAAGTAAAATAATCAGAAAAACATAACAGAAATTACTATCCTATTTACAATAACTTCAAAAAATGAAACAGCTATTAAGGTTTTAAATTCTTTTTACTATAGAAGATTTTAAACACACGAAAATTGTAGAGCAATAATTAACTCTGACATACCTATCATCCAGTATCAATAATTATAAACTAATCATGATTCACTTCCCCATCTACCCTCAGATTATTTTGAAGCACATGTGTGAGTTCGTATTATTTAATTCTTAAATATTCAAAGATAGATAAAGATAGATATAAAAGATAGATAATGTAGATTCTATGGAATGTAAGATTCAACATCATAACAAGGAAGAGAGTTTCCAGGTAAGATAAACGCAGACAACAGGCCCATAGAGACAATGTCCAGATTGGGAGGTCAGAGGAAGCCAGACTGGGAGGGCATAAGGAGTGGAACATGGCTGGGTGCAGTGGCTCACACCTTCATGAGGCTGAGGCCGGTGGATGACTTGAGCCCAGAAGTTCGAGATCAGCCTGGATGACATGGTGAAACCCTATCTCTACTAAAAGTACAAAAATCAGCCAGGCATGGTGGCACATGCCTGTAGTCCCAGCTACTCAGGAGGCTGAGGCACGAGACTCGCTTGAGCCTGGGAGGCAGAGGTTGCAATGAGCAGAGATTGCACCACTGCACTGCAGCCTGGGTGACAAAATGAGACTCTGTCTCAAAAAACAACAACAACAAAAAGAGGTGAACAATTGGAAAATAATCATAGTTACTTTACCGATGAGATTAAGCATTTTGAAATAATTAGTGATAAGTATATATAAGAAGTAACGGAAGAAAAAAACCTGAGGCAATCATAAACCTCAGGAAAAACAAAATGTAGAGTCCTTGGCAGCTATGAACAATAGCTTCATAGTTATGATCATGTAAATATTGACAATTGATTTAAAATCACAATATTAAAAGAGATAAGGAAAATTTGTGGGTAGAGGATATAAGCATTCTTAACCACTATAACAGGATATTGCTACTTGATATTAAAATTAATGTATCAAGAAATGGCAGCATAAGCATGTTCTTTGCATAGAAGTCACCATTAGGAGGAACAGCTAAAATATGACAGTTTTTTTTGTGAATTGGGACTGCACATGGGGAGGAGCAGGGCATAAGGCCATAAATCTTTATTATAAGAAGGCTTTTAATAATATTTGATTTTAAAAATCATAATTATACATCACCTTGATTGAAAAATAAAAATTACAGGCTCATGCCTGTAATCCCAGCACTTTGGGAGGACGAGGCAGGTGGATCATGTGAGCCCAGAAGTTTGAGACCAGCCTGGCCAACGTGAAGAAACCCCATCTCTACTAAAATTGCAAAAATTAGCCTGGTGTGATGGCACACGCTTGAATGCCAGCTACTTGGGAGGGTGAGGCAGAAGAATCACTTGAACCCGGGAGGCGGAGGTTGCAGTGAGCTGAGATCATTCCACTGCACTCCAGCCTGGGTGATGGAGGGAGACTTTATCTCAAAAAAAAAAAAAAAATTAACAAAAAAGAAATGAGAAAGGAAACCACACTCAACTGGAATATTGTTGAGTGTAATCCAGAAATGTTTATCTGGACTGTAGGTATCTTGAGACCGCTGGAGTAACTCAATGGCTATTTTATTATAAAGAGCAAAATGGACAAATTCCCTTGTAAGGGCAACGTAACTTGAGCCAAAGTGGATTTTGAGTTGACGTGGAGGTGGGCTCTTCTTTTTATGCTTCTTTAGGACAAAAGCGTGTGCTCTGGTTCTGTACTCTCTATGGGTATATTTGATCCTTTCAGTAGATTTCAGAACAGACACTAAATTAGGTGTAATGTTTGTCCAATTCATTGTTTTCAAATACTGAACTATCTCCCTGTTGGTTTTTAGGGGGAAATCGTGATCACCAGTGTTAGTGACATATCTCCACTGAACAGTTGATGCTATAAGATCTCTCATGCAGGCCAGGTCCGCCTGGAGCCTGGATTTTCCACCATAAATAATATACTCAGACTGTGAGGATATAAATGCATTTGAGAAGCACTCCAATAATTCACTCACAGCAATTTTAAAGTCAATCGTGGCCGCCTTATCAACGTGAATACAGTAGACATTTTGAGGCATGTAAATAGCCCAGAAAAGCCATTCAAACGTATCGAAATCTTGACTGATGGTCATTACATATGCCAAAGGGAATGCAGCTTCTTCTGTGGACAAAGGAGTTGTGATATAGTGGTTCTCTAGCACATAGTAAGGGCAAGAATCTATTCCAAACATTGTGGATAAAGCGCTTGGCAATACTTGCACCGTCTTCCCATTTAGGGCTGCGTCACAGATGTGCAGTCGGGAAAGGGCTTGATATTCACCACCTACGTCATCTATTTGACCACTGTCTGGTTGACTTACATGCACATTGTATAATACTGTGACTATGATTATAATTTGAAGAGTAATGATACAAAGATAACAGCTCCAAACCTTCATTTTAGTTTTTGACACCTGGGGGTAGAAGGGTGGAGAGAAAGAATTCTTCTTTAAGAAATAAATCAATTTCTAAAACATTTTACTTCTCTACCAGTCTCTACATTTGGCCACTTTATCAGTTGCACTCACTTTTCCAGATCCCATTTGCTTATTTTGATGCCTGGCCATTCCTCAGTTGAGTGTCAATTCTGTGGTATTTCTTACTTCTTGTTCTGCAAATGTTCTGATCTTTTAGTCAATGCATCCTCATCCAGGCTGGGCTACCAAGACTACTCAGTGTGACTCACCCTCCTTTCTGTCCTGTGTGGCTGTAACTGGGGAGATGGGGTAAAGGGTTAGTTCCCATTTCCTGTTTCTGTTGTTGAGTCATCTAATTTGTTGTAATTGTGTCCAGTTATATACCTGTCTGTATCTACCTCTCCTTTTGTGGCTAACTTCTCCCTGGGTATGCATATCTGGGTATATTCAAGTAATTTCCCATCTTGCTTATCATTCCTAACCTTTTAAGCAGGAGGATCCTTCCAGATTTCTGTCCGTTCAAGTAAGAGTACTTCATTAGGCATGGCCAGGTCTTAAGAGTTTTTATCCAAAGTGCTCAGCATAGTGCCTGGCACATTTGGGCACTCAGCTGATTCTTCCAATGAATAATTGAATGAGTAACTCATTTCCCTTATTCATTTAGTTTTGAAGGGTCCCAGCAACATTGGATGGCAAAATCTCCCCACAACTGGCTGTGGATTTTAGAGGAGACAGTGTTTCCATATAAACTGCTGTAGACTGTGGAAGATTAGGGACTAAGTTTTAACATGACCCATTACTCATATATATTAATAATTTTGATTATTCATACAATTTCAAACTATTGCTTTTTTTTTTTTCTGAGACGGAGTCTCGCTCTGTCGCCCAGGCTGGAGTGCAGTGGCGTGATCTTGGCTTACTGCAACCTCTGCCTCCTGGGTTCAAGTGATTCTCCTGCCTCAGCCTCCCTAGTAGCTGAGATTACAGGCGCGCACCACCATGCCCAGCTAATTTTTTGTATTTTAGTAGAGACAGGGTTTCACCCTGTTGGCCATGATGGTATCGGTCTCCTGACCTGGTGATCTGCCTGCCTTGGCCTCCCAAAGTGCTGGGATTACAGGCGTGAGCCACCGCGCCCCGCCGCCTTCTCTGATTTTAATTGAGCATTTTTATGATTGTATTGTATTTCATCTACTGATGTAATTTTTAATGGCTGCCGTAGGATTTACTACATACATTAAAAAATATTCTAGGCCAGGCGCAGTGGCTCACGCCTATAATCCCAGCACTTTGGAAGGTTGAGGTGGGCAGATCACTTGAAGTTAGGAGTTCGGGACCAGCCTGGCCAACATGATGAAACCCCGTCTCTACTAAAAATACAAAAGTTAGCCAGGCATGGTGGCGGGCACCTGTAATCCCAGCTACTTGGGAGGCTGAGGCAGGAGAATCGCTTGAAACCAGGAGGTGGAGGTTGCAGCCAATGGCCTGAACTTGAAATAATTCACTTTAACTAACCTGGCGTTAACTTTTTCAATGATTTCTCCTAATATCTTGAGTCCTCCATCACATTATGCCCTGGGCTTATTTCTGCAGTCTGATACTTGATGTTGAATGTCAGTTTCTGAGTCCTGTATTTCTTTGTCAGGAACCCTTTTGGATTGTTCTGCCAGCCCATCTCCTATAGATCCTTCCCAAGATGCAGGTTAGGCTTCCCGGGCTCAAACAGGATTGTCAAGGTTGACCTTCCATTCGGCCACTGTGGATTCTCACCACTTTCAGAGCTTGTAGGTGTTCCTCATGGAAAGGTGACCAGAGTCAGGTTTGCCCATGTCCTCCTCCTCTCAAAGACATTCTTGTTCCAAGGTCAGAAGTCAGCCCTCAGAGGTTGTCCACTTATGTGTTTTCCAATTGGCTTGACCCCTGAATCCCTAAACCAACCCACCCAGTAGAGGGAGGAGTTATAATAGACACCTTCCAGCTCAGGCATTTGTGTTCCCAAACTCCAACTGTGTAGCTCTCTGTTTAAATGGATCCCTGCTCCAATCTCTTGCTTGGCATACGCCACTGTACTCAAGTCTAGGTGTTCAAAAAAAAAAAAAAAAAAAAAAGCAGGGGTAGAAAACTTTTTTCTTATCTTTTGAATTAATATGTGGGGAAAAAAATTAAAAACAACAACACATTGTCACACATAATTATATCAGCCAACAAAAAAGAGATAGCAACTGGGATTTAAAAAATCAGAATCATAACACTTATATTTATTTTCTGCTATTGTAATTCTTAACTCAATAAAAGGTATCTACTAAAAAGCTATATAAAATCTCCAACAACAGTAATTCAACGTGCTTTTTAATGTTGGAAACAACACAAGGAAAGCTGCTACCACTGCTACTATTTAAAATTGCATTATGGGCAGGTGCACGCCTATAATCCCAGCACTTTAGGAGTCCAAGGTGGGAGGATCACTGGAGGCCAGGAGTTTGAGACCAGCCTGGAAAATATCGTGAGACTCCCATCTCTACAAAAATTAATAAAAAATTAGCCGGGCATGGTGGTACACGCTTGGGAGGCTGATATGCAAGGATCACTTGAGCCCAGGAGTTTGAGGCTGAAGTGAGCCATGATCATGCCACTGCACTCCATCGTGGGTGACAGAGCAAGACTTAGTCTCTCTTAAAAAAAAAAAAAAAAAGAAAAGAAAAAGAAAAAAAGAAAGGTCGAACTAAAACAGCAAGTTGTAAAGATATATTATTTTTTATTTATATAATCAATTCAAATATGCCAGTATATCTGTTTTTAGTATGCCCACTGTATATACACTGTATATACAAGCACATACATATAACTATTGTTTGCCTCTATAACTCTGCTGTCCAATGGTAGCCACTAGTCATATGTGGCTATTTAAATTAATTAAAGCTGGCCAGGCACGGTGGCTCACACCTGTAATCCCAGCACTTTGGGAGGCTGAGGCAGGCAGATCACCTGAGATCAGGAGTTTGAGACCAGCCTGGCCAACATGGCAAAATCCCCTCTCTACTAAAAACACAAAAATTAGCTGGGCGTGGTGGCATGCACCTGTAGTCCCAGCTACTCAGGAGACTGAGGCAGGAAAATCGCTTGAACTGGAAGGTGGAGGTTGCAGTGAGCCGAGATTGTGCCATTGCACTCCAGCCTGGATGAGTCCCCTCCATCTCAAAAAAAAAAAAAAAAAAATTAAAGCCAAATAAAATGTTAAAGAATATTTCCCAATCATACTAGCTGCATTTCAAGAGCTCATTAGCTTATGTGAGTGGCAATTATATTGGGCAGTGCAGATGTAGAACATTTTTATCATTGCAGAAATTCTACTGGACAGCACTGCTATAGATTATATCAGTACACTGAGAAAGCACTTGACCAGGTGTGGTAGCTCAAGCCTGTAGTCCAGCACTTTGGGAGGCTGAGGCAGGTGGATCGCTTGAGCCCAGGAGTTTGAGACCAGACAGGATAACATGGCAAAATCCTGTCTCTACAAAAAATACAAAAATTAGCCATGTGCAGTGGAACATGCCTGTGGTTCCAGCTACTTGGGAGGCTGAGGTGGGAGGATCACCTGAGCCCAGGAGGTTGAGGTTGCAGTGAGCCATGACTGTGCCACTGCACTCCAGCCTGGTTAACAGAGTGAGACTCTGTCTCAGAAAAACAAAAACCAAAAAAAGCAAATAAGTGATTATGTCTGGAGAAAGTAGTGCACTTTTTATTCTATATTCTTCATTATTTCCATGTTTATGAGCATGTATGTATTTATTATAGTTTAAAATGTTTTTCGCTTTAGCTTTAAAATATTTTTATTTGAAAAAATATGATGGATAAGATGTCCTTTAAATGATTTTTTTTTTTTTTTTAGTATTGATCATTTTCCATGTGTCTGTTAGAGGCAATATTTATCAAACTTACAATTGAAATGCTGCTCAAAAACATTGGCACTTGATCAGTAATTATGGTAATATTAACATAAAACTTTTTCCTAATGTATATCTTGATTTTTTTAAATGAACAATAGAGGCAGGTAAATAATAAGTTAACTTATTCCTGTCTCAAATTTTAAAAATACTTGTACTCTTACCAAAAAAAAAAAGTTATACCCAATTCAAATGACACTGATCTTCTATTGCGCCCTCTTCTCTCTATCACTCCCAGTTACTCTCTCCAACACCCCACAATGGGAAAGTTTAATGATTTTTCAGTGGATGGATGTTTCTTAGACAGGTATGCATGTATGTATGAATGAATGTAAATTTTGTTTAACACCAGGAGAATTGCCTTGTTAGACATATCCTTTAGTGGATTTTTAACCAATTGTCATATAAAAATACACAGTATCCCCGAAGTGGAAAACAATATATTAATTTATTCCCAAGAAAACAAAACATGGAACCTCATCGAAAACAAACATCAGATACAGTAGTTTCAGGGCATTCCCATGGGCTGTCAGAAACCCACTAGCCCAAACACTATGCTCTTCCAACATTAAAGTATTTAAGACACAGGAGAGATGACCAACAACAGACATGTAAACATCAATTCCAGAAAGATTTCTTGTTCTACATGAGAAACATCCAGTGTAAAACGGTTCCTCTTCTCAGGTGCTGTCATTTAAATAAGTTGAAAAGAGACAATTTTTAAACTCCACTGCTGACCCTGAGTGCATTCGCTATCCCCTCACCTATTTTGTTTTGGGACAAAGTCTCGCTCTGTCACCCAGGCTGGAGTGCAGTGGGGCACTCTCAGCTCACTGTAACCTCCACCTCCTGGGTTCAAGCGATTCTCATGCCTCAGCCTGCCAAATAGCTGGGATTACAGGCACATGCCACAAAGCCCGGCTAATTTTTATATTTTTTAGTAGAGATGGGGTTTCACCATGTCGGCCAGCCTGGTCTGGAACTCCTGGCATCAAGTGATCTACCTGCCTTGGCCTCCCAAAGTGTTGGGATTACAGGTGTGAGCCACCACGCCCGGCCCAAGCCAGAGGTCTTGTAAGGGGACTCATCCCATCATGAGGGTCCTACCCTCGTGACCTCATCTAAACTTCCCTTACCAAAGGCCCCATCTCAAATACCATCACATTGAGGGTTAAGGCTCCAACACATGAATTTTGGGGGGACACAGTCCCATCTATAGCCAATGGCAGTTTGTGCTTGGAGCCCACTCTGGTCACCTTAGTGGGACTGGCCTCTGTGCAAGTGACAGGTTTTCACATGTGGCCTTCAAGAGTTCCTTGTGTGACCAGCTGTCCCTATTCCTTAACACTTTACCACCCAAAACAACTCCATTTTTTTCAGTAGCAAGAAAAAAGGTTTTACTTCAAAGTCATTCCCTTTAAATATGATTGACATTCAACAAGCACAGTTACAGAAAAAAAATAAAATTGTGTTCATTAAATGTGTCATCCATTTGTAGTAATTGCTTTTTGTTAGAATAAATAAATATTTAGAAACTCAACGGTTTAGTATTACAGGAATACTAAAGTAGACTTCACATTTTTTCTGAACTGACAGGACTTTTTCTCAGTATTAACACTGAGACCATTCTTAAAATCTACCTTCTCTGGTATACTAAATATGGCTTTATTTCACCTTCTCTCAGTAAATCCACCTCAGGAAATGAACTGAGAAGACCAGCAACAGAGTCCCAATTCTCACCCAGAGAAATTGTTCCCCGGTGCTATTAACCTTTCTAAGCCTCAGTTACTTCATCTGCAAAATGGGAGTAATTATATAAGGGCCTCACAAGACTGTTGTGAGGTTTGAATGAAATTAGATACATAAAGGAATACCAGAATGGCTGGAACACAACAGGTCCTCCCTCTGTCTCCTCCTTTCTCCCTCTCTGTTGAATAATCTCTGATTTAACCCTTAATTTGTAATTACTGATCTCCTGGGCCTGGTATCATGCTACACAGCCCTGTGTGTTCCTGTATTAAACTACAATCACTCTGTAAGATTCTCCAGAGGAGGCTTTCTGGTGTTGACATTATTGCCAAGATTTTTAGAGTGAAAAAGCTCTTATGTTTCCTTTTTGTCTCAGTACATGTCCTGTACATAATAGACACTCAAGAGATGTTGATTGAAGGCTGAATGAATGAACGGATGGATGAATGAGGGATAAATAACAGAGATGTTCATCTACAATTGAAGGCTCTTAAAAATCGAGCCACTACTATCAGTACCAGGCAGTGTAAAGCTACTCAGAGCATACTATGGTGCAATTAAAAGCCTCACAGGATAGAATTTGGTCTCCATTTTGCAAGTAAGATAATACTGGGGAGAGAGGGGTCATAGAAGAGGAAAGTGTTCCAGACTTCAGACTAGATCTATGTGATAGCACCTCTCTTGAATGCATATCTCCATTCTTGCAAGGACTTTTTAGTGTTCTTAATGGAAGACATGACATAGGGACCAGCCTACATTCTGGCATATAAGAGAGAAATGTTTTATTCCCCGAGGTCCTTTTACTGAAGCAACAGACAGTGAATTCTGTCTTAAAGCATATCCTGTTTCTTGTTAATGACTTTATACTATATACAGAACTTTGTCCATGAGTAAGCCAAAAATGCTAGTGTTGAAACTCAGAAACAAGATGTATTCTCCATTCAGGTAGCTTATGTTTTAAAGGAAATTGGTGAATTACCCAGAAAGCTGTTTCACTATCTGTCTGGTTGAGCACAGTGGTGACTGTTAAGGTGTTATAAAAGATTCCTTCTTCAAAGAAACCTAATTCTTATTTTCCTAGACAGTATTATCTACAATTCTCTTTTTTACTAAAACATTTGTATATGATGAGTATCTGGTGCAAAGATCTGAGGTCATTTAAATTTATCATTGATCCTAACAATAAACTAATATAGAGGTGAGCATCAAGAAACAGCAAGACTAAAATTGGCCAAAGTGCCCAGATTGCTCTACCCAGCCATCCTGTTAGTGTATTTCACAGTGTCCAGTGGATATTTTAAGTATAATTACGTAGCCAGGTCCTGAAGCTATAAACGTGGTCCTGAAACGGTTAACATTACGAAGGCAAAAGTCTCTCACAAAAACAGGCTCCTCTTCCCAGCTGCAGTTTCCCTTCAGTCATGAGTAGCTCATGAATAGCTCAAAAATACCAGCTGGGTTGTATCGCAGTTTCACTCTGATTGAGGGTTCTTTCGCGATGCCTCAGTTCTAGGCATTCCACAGTAAGGGGGTAGGTATTAAGCTCAAACTTGTTAGCAAACAGGCTTGGTGAATTAACCAGCCACTTTAAGTCTCCGTTTCCATAGATACAAATACCATGTACATAGTGGCCTGCAAAAGAAAGAACAAGAAACAGAGTCAAAACATGCTTGCTTTCAAAAGGGTGATGAACTTACAGAATACTAGAGGTACTCTCCGACTAACTACAACTGTGCCAATGGTACAGGATTCAAATGAAATATGATTGTGCAGTCTCAGCCCACAAAGAACTGGAACTCTATTTAGAAGAACAAGAGGTACAAATATGTTATTTGAAAAAAATGAGAGTTAAATCATACAAGGCATAAAGTAACAGGTGTTAATATTTTAATTATGTTAATTATTGTGTATATCAAAATTAATATGAAAATTGTGTTAGTAACATAATAGGTGTTACAAGGTCATTCATGTACAGTAATCCCCCCTTATCTGCAGTTTTGCTTTCTGAGGTTTCAGCTACCCGAAGTCAACCACGATCCAAAAATATTAAGATATTTTGAGAAAGAAAGAGAGCATATATCTTTTATTACACATAACTTTTTTATTCACAGAACTTTTATTCACATAACTTTTATTACAGCATATTGTTATAATTGTTCTATTTTATAATTAGTTATTATTGTTAACCTCTTACTATGCCTACTTCAAAAATTAAACTTTATCATAGATATGCATGTACAGGGAAAAACAAAGTATATTTAGAGTTCGGTACTGTCTGTGGTTTCAGGCATCCACTGGGGGTCTTGAAATGTATCCCCCCGTGGATAAGGGGGGCCTACGGTATTACTAAATGAGAGTTACAGATGAGAAGTCCTACAGTGGTACAGGTGGGAGAGATCTTTATGGGTTGCGTTGAGTAAGTCTTTTTCCTGAGCTCTGGTCTATCCAAGTGCCTACTTTGCACCTCTGCCTAGATGTGTGATAAACCTCAGTGATGTAACACGTCAATATTGAAATTTTTTTTTTTTTTAACCTCAATAGCTTTTGGGGTGGGGACTTCCTGCTGGGAGAGGGGGTTTTGTTGGGAATAGGTTAGAAACAAGAATGGTAGGAAGTTGCAACCATTTTCCAGAGATTCTTCTGGGCACACAGGACAATTGCTGGTTGACTGACTTCACAGACTGAAGGGTTGGGCCTTGTGTCTCACAAGTATGGACAGTCCTTAAAGATTTTTGAAGAGAAGAATCAAGTGATGAAACTCATTTTAGCAAGATTAATTTTGAAGTGTTTTGCAAGGTACATTAGAAACCAAGAGGCTGCAGTAATAACACAAACTGGAGAGCTTGTTCAAAGTTAATGTCTGTGATGAGTGGGAAAGGGAGGATGTTGAAGACACTAGTACAGAAGGACAGATAGAACATGGTGATTAATTCAGTGGGCTGGGAAGAAGCATAATAGAGAGTAGAAGTCATTGGGGAAAGAAGCCAGAATTGTAGGAAGTGAAAGAATGACCAGGCGGCGAGAACCAAAAACACAGGCCTTAAGCACACGCTTAAAGAAATGGAAGTGAACAAGGAAAGAATATTTCGGCCTGGAGAAAGCAGAAGGTTCATAGACAACTCGATGTCTTCAAGATAGGGGCAATGAGTACAGGCTTTCAGAGAAAAGGAAAAGAGGCAGCAGAAAGGGAGAGGCTGAGAATGCAAAAGAGCAAGGGTCTGAGAGAGGGGGCCCACAGATAGCTGAGACCATAGCTGGCGGCTTTTGTTGGGAGGATGGGTGACTTGTCCTCTTGAAACAGGAGGGAACAATGAAAGAAGGTGTCCACACAGCTCTAAGATGGTGGGGCAGGATGACCTGACAAGGGACTAGATGATGAATTTTGATCACATATCTTGAATGTTCTTTTTCAAGTTGAAATGGTCGCTTTTGAGAATAGAAAGGCTGTTTTAGCATAACCTTGTGATATGGTTTGGCTGTGTCCCCACCCAAATCTCATCTTGAATTGCAGCTCCCATAATTCCCATGTGTTGTGGGAGGGATGCAGTGGGAGATAGTTGAATCGTGGGGGGCAGTTTCCCCCATGATTGTTCTTGTGGTAGTGAGTAAGTCTCACAAGATCTGATGGTTTTATAAGGGGTTTCCTCTTTTGCTTGGCTCTCATTCTTGGCTCTCATTCTGTTTTTCCTGCCACCATGTAAGATGTGCCTTTTGCCCTCTGCCAGGATTGTGAGGCCTCCCCAGTCACGTGGAACTGTGAGTCCATTAAACTTCTTTTTCTTTATAAATTACCCAGTCTTGGGTATGTCTTTATCAGCAGTGTGAAAACGGACTAATACACCTTGGGAGCTTAAAGGTGAGCAGGAAAGCTGAAAAGGTGTCCCTTAGGAAGGGCACTAGGAAAATAATGAGGTAAACAAAAGGATAAGTAGGTAGCCAGGAGGCCTAGCTGAAGGTAGATGACAGGACCCAATGGTGGGTTTGTCTTAAGAGAGTTCCGCAACACTCCCCACCAATACTCTGCCTAGGGAAGTACAAACGGCAAAAAAGGCAGATGGTGGTAATGATTAGGGTTAGGAATCAGCCTTGTAGGGTCAAAATGGCAAAAGGACCAAAAATGTTGGTGAGGACATCTTGTAGTGGCTTACAATACACGGGTCAGACGGGGAGTCCTCAGAAGGAAGCTCATAGAAGGAAAAAGCTTGAAATGTTGAACCTCTGGAAATCCCAATTCAAACCAAAAACAACATGGTTTAGGTGTGGACACACAACAGTGAACAAACTGGTCAAAAATCCTAGCTGTCTTGGAGCTTCTGCTCTGGGAAGAAAGACAGTAAAATAAGTAGGATGTGAGTAGGTGAAGGAAACTAGTAGAGGTGACAAAGACACTGTAATCAGAGATGGGCACTCCAAGTTGAAGATCATTCTAAGTGCTAAGAGGGCTGATGAAGGTAGTACAGGCCGGGTGCGGTGGCTCATGCCTGTAATCCCAGCACTTTGGGAGGCCGACGCAGGTGGATCATAAGGTCAGGAGTTTGAGACCAGTCTGGCCAACATGGTGAAACCCCGTCTCTACTAAAAATACAAAAATTAGCTGGGTGTGGTGGTGGGTGCCTGTAATCTCAGCTACTCAGGAGGCTGAGGCATGAGAATCACTTGAACCCGGGAGACGGAGGTTCCAGTGAGCCGAGATTGTGCCACTTGTACTCCAGCCTGGGTGACAAGAGTGAAACTCCATCTCAAAAAAAAAAAAAAATAATGTAGGCAGGTGGCATGCACTGTCCCCTGGAGAAAATACAGGCTGATTAAATATATTAACATGCTTCAGAATGGACCAAAATTTCTTTACAGTTGCATGAAAACATTGCTGTCCACAGTGGGATGAGACCATCAAGAGACACATGAGAAAGAGGTTGGTGTAATGGAGAGTTGTAGAGATGGAGCAACTTGGAGATTTTCACCTGAAACATTTAACATTTAGGTGCAGGTAAGATGGGGCCGGGCGCAGTAGCTCACGCCTGTAATCCCAGCACTTTGGGGGACCAAGGGGGGCAGATCACGAGGTCAAGAGACTGAGACCATCCTGGCCAACATGGTGAAGCCCCGTCTCTACTAAAAATACAAAAATTAGCTGAGCGTGGTGACATGCACCTGTTATCCCAGCTACTTGGGAGGCTGAGGCAGAAGAATCACTTGAACCTGGGTGGTGGAGGTTGCAGCAGTGAGCTGAGATGGCGCCACTGCTCTCCAGCCTGGTGATAGAGCGAGAATCCATCTCAAAAAAAAAAAAAAAAAAAAAAAAAAAAGATGGACTGAGGAGTAGAGGCAAAGTCTCGTTGCCATAGAGAGAAAAGGCCAAACCACCATATTGTCATTCATTCATTGATTCATTTGTTCAAACAATCACTTACTAAATAAATATTTATTGCATATTATGGACTGAATTGTTTGTCTCTCTAAATTCATATGTTGAATCCTAACACTGAGTGTCTCAGAGTGGAGACAGGGTCTTTAAAGAGGTAATTAAATTAAAATGAGACCTTTAGGGTGGGCCATAATCCAATATGACTGGTCTCCTTAGAAGAAGAGGCGATTAGGACACAGACACGCACAGAGGGAAGACCATGTGGGAACACAGGGAGAAAATGCTATCTACAAGCCAAGCAGAGAGGCCTTAATAAACCAGCCCTGCTGACACCTGGATCTTGGACTTCCAGCCTCTAGAACTAAATAAATTTCTATTAAGCACCCAGTCTGTGCCACTTTGTTATGGCAGCCCTAGCAAACTAATACTCATGCCCAGTATATGCTGGGCAATATTCTGAATGCAGTGTGTGCCAGGACTGATAAAAACTCTCCTTCACAAAATTCTATAGAAATGGAAATGACTTAGGATTTCTAGTTCTTTTCCATTTGGAGGGGAACCCTTCTTGCTAGTGTAACCTGCCATCCATCATGCCAGAGCTGTGCAAACCCCGACAGCTCTCCAAGCCACTGGGAAGGCTGCCTGTAGGGGGAGCAGGGACTGGCCTGAGGGTTGGGGGCCCAGCTTTCTCTGCGGTGCCAACATGACATCACTTCTCCTCCTGATGGCTTTCGCCTCTGAACAGCTGGACTCCCAGAAGGCACAGCAAGAGGAATAAACAAGAAAGCTGACTCTACAAGAAAAAAAAAAATTAGCCAGGTGTGGTGGTGCACGCCTGTGGTCCCAGCTTCTTGGGAGGCTGAGGTGTGAGGCCTGAACCCAGGATGTTGAGGCTGCAGTGAGCTGCATTCATGCCACTGCACTCCAGCTTGAATGACAGAGTGAAACCCTGTCTCTAAAGAAAGAAAGAAAGCTGAAAACTAGCAGGAAGAAAAACATGCCGCCCTGATTTGAACCCATTTTTCCATCTCCCTAGGTAATTATAAGTTAGAGAACATCAATGAGATGTTTAAACTTATTTTTGAAGGACTGTGTCTTGAAGCCTCTGGCTTCTCCAATAACTAACAGATTGGTCTAAATATAGCAGCAATTCTCTCTCCATGAGAACCCTGGATTCCACAGCTACCTTCCTGCTAACACCAACAGGCAGTGGCCTAGAAGCATGGAACGAGAGCCTCACCGTGGCAGCCTCCGTGTCTGTCTTCCATGTCACTCCACTTTATAGCTCTGAGGTTTCCAGTCCAGGATGCATTTGGCATAGAGCCAGGAACACCTGCAATGTTGATAAAGAAGAAGCGTAGAGATGAGAGTCATGAGAGAAGGGCATCAATTTCATCAATTAAGCCTCTAAGTCAGGCTTACTTTCTTTCAGTTTATTACCTTTCGCATTTCACACAGATTGGTATGTACTGATCTACCCATCTTCTGTTTCCTCCAGTTGATCTTTTGACCAGAATTTTAGTTGTTGACTCATCATCTAATTAGTATAACATCTAATTCAATCAATATACAAATCAATATACTAATACAATTCTGATCCATTTACTAATACCTAATTCGGTTGAGGGGTGGGGTGCTGTAGGTTGGCATCTTGCTAAGCCAGGGTTTCTCCACTTCAGCGCGATTGACAGTTTGGGCTGGATGATTCTTTGTTGTGGGGGCTGTCCTGTGTTTTGTAAGATGTTTAGCAGCATCCTTGGCCTCTACCCAATAGATGCCGATAGCACCCTCTCCTCAATTGTGACAACCAAAAATGTCTGCAGATATTGCCAAATGTCCTGTGGGTGAGCAAAATCACCCCATTTGAGAAACACTGTGCTAAGTGTTTTTCAATAACCCTGTCTATGAAATAAATTTTGGATAGGTCATAGAGATTGAAGGGTCTATTTAATCATAGTTAGACTCCAAGATTATAATATATAAATCATTACTAGAGAAGAAGTTGCCAGACATAGTGGTTCATGCCTGTAATCCCAGCACTTTAGGAGGCCGAGGTAAGAAGATCCCTGGGCAACCTAATGAAACCCTGTCTCTACAAAAAATAAAAAATTAGCTGAGTGCGGTGGCACGTGCTTGTAGTCCCATCTACTTAGGAGGCTGAGGTGGGAGGATCATGTGAGCCTAGGAAGGTCAAGGCTGCAATGAGCCATGATTGTGCCACTGTACTCCAGCCTGGGTTACAGAGCAGGCCCCTGTCTCAAAATAAAAAAAAAAAATTAAAAAAAGAAAAGGAAAACATGGGAGTCAACATAAATGCAACTAAAAGAGAAATACTTTGCTTTAGAGTTACAGCATTTTCCACCAGTGAGTAATGCAATCTGAATTTTGATGCAATGGCACTGTGCAAATGCTATCTGTACCCAAATTTCAATAGTCCTCTCTTAGAAGATTCTTTTTAATTACTGATAAGATATATTGTGGTAGGCAGAATAATGGCCTCCACCCACTCACTCCCTCAAACACACACATGCAGAACAGACAAAGATGCCTACATCCTAATCCCTGGAACCTGAGAATATGTTATTTTACACAGCAAAGGGAGATTAAAGTTGCTGATCAGCTGACCTTAAAATAGGGAGGTTATCCTGAATTATCTGGGTGAGCCAAATGTAATCACAAGGGTCCTCAACATTGGAAGAAGGAAACAGAAGAGCTGGACAGAGTGACACGATGTAAGAAGGCTCCACTCTGACTCTGCCTTTGCTGTTTGAAGATGGGGGAAGAAGCCACCAGCCAGGAATGTGAGTGGCCTCTAGAAGCTAGAAAAGGCAAGGAAATGGATTGTATTCAGAGCCTACAGACAGGAACCTGACCCAGCCAATGCCTGGATTTCAGCCTGGTCAGGCTTTTGTCCTGCAGAATTGTAAGACAATATATTTATGTTGTTGAAGCTGCTGAATTTGTGGTAATTTGTTGCAGAGCCAGGTAAAAAGCTAATACACATGCTAATGAGAAAAAGAACGACTCAAGGGCTGTGTACAGTGGCTCATACCTGTAATCCTAGTGCTTTGGGAGGCCGAGGTGGGAGGATTGCTTGAGGTCTGGAGTCCGAGACCAGCCTGGGCAACATAGTGAGACCCTATCTCTACTAAAAATTTTTTTAAAAATTAGGCAGGCTTTGTGACTCCCACCTGTGGTCCCAGCTACTCAGGAGGCTGAGGCAGGAGGATCACTTGAGCCCAGGAGTTTGAGACTGCAGTGAACAATGATTGCACATCTGCACTCCAGCCTAGGCAACACAGAAAGACACCATCTCCACAATTTTTTTTTTTAAATTAGCCAAGCATGGTGATGCACTCTTGTAGTCCCAGCTACTGGGGAGGCTGAAGTGGGAGGATTGCTTGAGCCTAGGAGCTAAAGGCTGCAGTGAGTTTGAGTACTACTGTATTCCAGCCTGGGTGACAAGAGAGGGATCATTCCTAAAATAAAAGAAGAAAAAAGCTACTTAAGACAATGAATATTTTTAATAGTTTTTAATAAAGAAAAAATTGGACAAGACCAATATTTTGAAGAAATTTAATTGAATTAGGCTTTTAAAAATATTAATAAAAATGTGCATTTTCAGAAGATCAGAAGAAAAAAGGTCTGTTCTTTTGCCCTGATGTCATATGATGATTATATGATGATCTGATTTGTAACCAGGTTTCCTAACTAAAATTAAATTTTGTTACAGCTTTTCCTGTAAACAGCATGAGTCTTAAATCCTAAGGGCTCTCTATAAGGCAAGAGTCTTTTCTTCTTGCTACCTAAACTTGAATTTATTTAATAAAAGTATTCAAGTATTCAAGAAAAACACTATTAAGCAATATTTCTATTTCTTTAACTTGCATTTTAATACTTTACAATTATTTTGATGCTTGCCTATCTAAAGGAAGCTACCTTGTTTTGTTCTTAACACACATTTTAAAAGAATTTGGAGTAAAACTTGTCCGGTGAAGCTGTGGGATGGAGAAGGAGAGTCTGGAAAGCAAAGAGAGAATCTGGCTTATTTACCGACATTTGTGTGCTTAGCTGACGTGTTATTATGAGCCAATGTCTATTAAATAACTACATCATAAAAGTATGAAGAGTACATTCCCATGACAAAAAGTCATTTAATGTTGAAATGACTATTTTTGAAAGCACAAGACATTTTTCTTCCTTTTTCATTCTCTTTAATACTGATAATCCCAAACTGACTCTTACTCAGAAACAGATTCCATTATTGCAGAGGTAAGATCGTGACATTTATAATTAATTACCTGCTGTCTTTATAAAATGAACACATAACACCTACTAACCTCGTGTTACTGAAATTCCAAACCTCAACTTCAATACTTTCTGTTTGATGACAGGTGTCAAACACGTATGTGCTTACATATTATGCATGTTTGTGCATTAAAACATTACATTTTTAAAAGCAGAAGGGGAAAGAAGGGCAAACAGAACAAGTTGAATTCTACTCTTTTTGCAAAGAATTCTGAGGCGCAGAAAGTGGCAGGAGTGGGCACAAAGCCTTGCTTTTTGAGTGTGGCTCTTAAGAGTAGGGGCATCAGCAGCACCTGGAAGCTTGTTAGAAATGCAGAATCTGGCCAGGCGTGGTGGCTCACACCTGTAATCCCAGCACTTTGGGAGGCCGAGGCGGGCGGATCACCTGAGGTCAGGAGTTCAAGACCAGCCTGTCCAACGTGGTGAAACCCTGTCTCTACTAAAGATACAAAAATTAGCCGGGTGTGATGGCACGCACCTGTAGTCTCTGCTACACAGTAGGCTGAGGCAGAAGAATTGTTTGAACCTGGGAGGTGGAGGTTGCAGTGAGCCGAGGTTGCAGCACTGCACTCCAGCCTGGGCAACAGAGTGAGACCCTGTGTCAAAAAAAAAAAAAAAAAAAAAAGAAGAAATGCAGACTCTGGCCAGGTGCAGTGGCCCATGCCTGTGGTCCCAGCACTTTGGGAGGCTGAGGTGTCAGAGGCCTGTGAACCAGAGCAACTCCATCTTAAATAGGAGCTGGGTAAAATAAGGCTGAAACCTACTGGACCGCATTCCCAGATGGTTACGCATTCTAAGTCACGGTGAGCGATGACAGCATGCTAGCAGCCCTCGCTCGCTCTCGGCACCTCCTCGGCCTTGGCACCCACTCTGGCCCCACTTGAGGAGCCCTTCAGCCCGCGGCTGCACTGTGGGAGCCCCTTTCTGGGCTGGCCAAGGCCAGAGCCAGCTCCCTCAGCTTGCTGGGAGGTGTGGAGAGAGAGGCGCCGGCGGGAACCAGGGCTGCGCGCAGCGCTTGCCGGCCAGCGTGAGTTCCGGGTGGGCGTGGGCTGGGGGCGCCCAGCACTCGGAGAAGCCGGCCGGCCCCGCCGCCCGGGGCAGTGAGGGGCTTAGCACCTGCGCCAGCAGCTGCTGTGCTGGATTTCTCGCTGGGCCTTAGCTGCCTCCCAGCGGGGCAGGGCTCAGCACCTGCAGCCGGCCATGTCTGAGCCTCCCCCCGACCGCCATGGGCTCCTGCGCGGCCAGAGCCTCCCCAACGAGCACCCCTCCCTGCTCCATGGTGCCCAGTCCCATCGACCGCCCAAAGGCTAAGGAGTGCAGGCGCACGGAGTGGGACTGGCAGGCAGCTCCACCTGCGGCCCTGGTGCGGGATCCACTGGGTAAAGCCAGCTGGGCTCCTGAGTCTGGTGGGGACGTGGAGAACCTTTATGTCTAGCTAAGGGATTGTAAATACACCAATCAGCACTCTGTCTCTAGCTCAAGGTTTGTAAACACACCAATCAGCACCCTGTGTCTAGCTCAGGTTTTGTGAATGCACCAATTGGCACTCTGTGTCTAGTTACTCTGGTTGGGTCTTGGAGAAACTTTATGTCTAGCTAAGGGATTGTAAATACAGCAATCAGCACTCTGTATCTACCTCAAGGTTTGTAAACACACCAATCAGCACCCTGTGTCTAGCTCAGGGTTTGTGAGTGCACCAATCGGCACTCTGTATCTAGTTACTCTGGTGAGGACTTGGAGAACCTTTATGTCTAAGGGATTGTGAATGCAGCAATCGGCACTCTGTATCTAGCTCAGGGTTTGTAAATGCACCAATCAGCACTCTGTGTCTAGCTAATCTAGTGGGGAGGTGGAGAACTTTTGTGTCTAGCTCAGGGATTGTAAATGCACCAATCAGCTCTCTGTAAAACAGACCAATCAGCAGGATGTGGGTGGGGCCAGATAAGAGAATAAAAGCAGGCTGACAAAACTAACAGCGGTACCCTGTTTAGGTTGCTTTCCACACTGTGGAAGTGCTGTTCTTTTGTCCTTTGCAATAAATCTTTGTACTGCTTACTGTTTGGGTCCATACAGCCTATATGAGTGGTAACACTCACCACGAAGGTCTGCAACTTTACTCCTGAAGCCAGCAAAACCACGAACCCACTGGTAGGAACAAACAATTCCAAACGCACCGCCTTGAAAGATATAACGCTCACTGCAAAGGTCTACAGCTTCACTCCTGAGCTAGCGAGACCACGAACCCACCAGAAGGAAAAAACTCTGAACACATCCAAACATTAGAGGGAACAAACTCCAGACCCGCTGCTTTTAAGAACTGTAACACTCACTGCGAGAGTCCGCAGCTTCATTCTTGAAGTCAGTGAGACCAAGAACCCACCAATTCCAGACATAGCAGGATGAGACAGGAGTCAGCACAAAATACAGGTCATAAAGACCTTGCTGATATAAACAGTTTGCAGTAAAGGAGCCGCCCAAAACCCACCAAAACCAAAGTGGCGATGAGAGCAATCTCTGGTCGTCCTGCTACACTCCCACCACTGCCATAGCAATGTCAGGAAGTTGCCCTCTATGGTCTAAACGGGGGTAATAATCCACTCCTTGTTTAGTGTATCTTCAAGAAATAACCATAAAAATGGGCAACCAGCAGCCCTCGGGGTTGCTCTGTCTATGGAGTGGCCATTCTTTTATTCCTTTACTTTCTTAATAAACTTGCTTTCACTTTGCACTGAAGACTCACCCTGAATTCATTCTTTTGCAAGATCCAAGAACCCTCTCTTGGGGTCTGGATCGGGATCCCTTTCCTGTAACAGGCAGGTAGATCTCTTGAATCCAGGAGTTTCAGACCAGCCTGGGCAACATACAGAAATCCCATCTCTATGAAAATACAAAAATTAGCTGGGTGTTGTGATGTGCGCCTGGGGCCCCAGGTGTTCGGGAGACTGAGGTGGAAGGATCATCTGAGCATGGGAGGTCAAGGCTGCAGTGAGCCAAAATCAGGCCACTGCACTTTAGCCTGGGTAACACAGTGAGATCCTGTCTCAAAAAAGAAATTGAGACCCACGCCAGGCCTCTTGTATCAACATCCAACGTCAGCATCTTCACAAAATCCCCAGAAGATTCTTGTGTGTGATCAAGTGTGAGTAGCTCTCAGCTGTAAGCAACACTGGGAGGAGGATGCAGCTTGTCCTGGGGAGCAACAGCACTGTCCTTTTTTCCTCCCCTCCTTGACCTCTCTCCCTCAGTCTTCATCAGGTTTGTAGGTTAGTCTCTTACTAACTATTCTCACTCAAAATCTTCTCTTGTGAGTGAATCTGGTCCCTATATCCTTGGGTTAATTGTAACTAACTTGTTCCCACTGCTAGGAATATATGCATTTTAACGGATCTCTCACATCACCTCCTTGAAGGCATCAGCCCACCTGTTATAGGAAAAAGCTGCACTGAGCAGAGGACCAGTTCTCACAGTGCCTTTGACTTCATAGCACTTGGCCACCAGGAGACTCTCAACCAATGTTAAAGGAATGAACGCGCGTCCATTCCCAATGCAAGGGTGGCCCCATTGACTCAGTCAGTCTTTAGTGCTGATGGGGAGGACCGTTTAGGTTTTGTGAGGATCAGACGGGCCTGGATGCTGTCTTGATTTCCCAATAGGACATGGCAACTTAAGGTGTAATAATCTCTACTTCTCAGTACCAAAAAGCATTTCTTCTACCTTTCTTCTTTTTCTCTTTTTTTTTTTTTTTTTTTTGAGACAGAGTCTTGCTCTGTTGCCCAGGCTGGAGTCCAGTGGCATAATCTCAGCTCACTGCAACCTCCGCTTCCCAGCTTCAAGTGATTCTCCTGCTTCAGCCTTCCAAGTAGCTGGGACTAGAGGGGCGTGCCACTAACGTCCAGCTAATTTTTTGTATTTTTAGTAGAGATAGGGTTTCACCATGTTGGCCATGCTGGTCTTGAGCTGAACTCAAGTGCTCCACTCGCCCTGGCCTCCCAAAATGCTGGGATTACAGCCGTGAGCCACTGTGCCCGGCCTCTTCTACCTTCTTAGCAAGCACCAACCCATTTCAATTTGCCCTTCAATAATGACCTGGGTGATCAGCAATCATCCATTCTCCATATCTGTCCTGCTTGGTTCAACTTGCTTAGGGAAGTGAGAAAATATTCAACAAGACTTCTGGTGACAGCTCAATTTGAATACCTAGTAAGCATCACTTGGTTATTATTTTGAGGAGATAATGGCAAGCTTAAGATTGAAGACCCTGAATGTACAATGTGCTCACTGTTCAGTAAGTAATTTAATTTGGCTTGGGCTGAAAGATACATGGAGATCCCAAAGCTACCAGTCCCATCACTCTTGCCAATGTCCAGTTGCTCCTTCTCTACTCCCTAAAAGCCTCTCTATTAAGCCTGTTTCCTGCCTGCTGCCAGAGACTGATCCCAGGCTGAGCACCCTGATGGAGTAGACACTGGCCTAGGGATTAGGGAACTTCCGTTCTCATTCCAGCTTTGCCACTAACCAGCTGGGTATCCCTGGACATCATCCAACGTCTCCAAACCTCACCTCTCAAATGAAGTAGGTAAATCTGATCAGTGGCTTTTCAACCTTTTAGACTGCAACCCACAGAAAAAACACTGTATACCATCACACACACACACGTATATAAAGCAAACAAGTTTCATAAAACAATACTTGTGCTTATTACATGCGATGCACTTGTTAATTTTATGTTGTTTTCTGGTCTAGTTTCATCTTAAAAATTCTGATCAAAAACTACTAAAGTGATTTCTGTATCCTCTAATGGGACACAACTAGTATTGGAAAAATACTGGACTCGATTCTATTATTATTATATTTGCTGTTAGGATCACTATCACTATTCTTTGTCAGGACTCTGGGAGGGTAGTTATGGGGAGTATGGGTAGGACCGTACCCTTCATTCACAAGAATCCTAGCAAAGGCCTATTTTTCATTATTTCTAGGACAGGGCAAAAAAAAAAGTCAATATTATCTGAGAAAACATTTTAAACTATAAAATCCAATTCTCTCATTTGCTCTTCATAGGCTTATATAAACAGAGCATTTGAGGCAAAGTTTACAGAGTAACCAGGAATGTTTTTCTTGGGGCTCAGCCTTTCTTAGTCAAATAACTGCGTTTGTTAAACATGATTCTTTGAAATGCAAGCTTTATTTATATTGACTTGACGTTCTCATTATTCTTACACAGTTTGGTCCTCATTTTGGGAGAACTATCTGTGGTAACAAGTTCCAGAAATTGCTTATTATTTAAGCTCACATATATACTTTTTAATTTCTTAAGAAAACAAGGAATTTTGTTTTTAAATGTTAAATAGTCAATGCTGATGAGAATATATTGAAAGGGCTTTCTCACAATTCAATGGTAGTGCTGAAATTGGTTCAGCTGTAGAAAATCAATTTAGAAACATGTAGGAAAAGCCACCATAACTGCCAATTCCCTTTGACCCTTTAATATCTTCAAAATAAGCTACGGAAGGGACTTTTAAAATGCAGAAATCCGTATATGAAGATGTTCATTATGACATTACACACGATAACTGACAGCACCAGCTTTGAAGTCGGAGAGACAAGCATTGCTACCACTAACTGTATGACTCTGAACAACTATTGAATCTCTTTAAGACATGGTGTACTCGTCTTTAAAACCTCACAGGGTTTTGGGAGGGCTAAATGAGAAAAATCTGTGTACAGTGCTTTGCAATGCCTGGCATACATAACCACTAAATACATGGTTGAAAATATAATCCCTTTAATAAAATCATGGGGATAATGTTTCTGTGGAAAAGACCGCTTTTTTTACTATAATCTAAAGCAGTTTTCTCAACCTCAGCATTATCGACATTTGGACCAGGTAATTCTTTGTCGTGGGGGCTGACCTATGTCGTTTAGGATGTTTAGCAGTGTTCCCAGTCTCTTCCCACTAGATGCCAGTAGCAGGTCCCCAACCACAGATGTGACAGACCAAAATCTCTCCAGACATTGCCAAATGTCCCCTCAGGTGCAAAATCACCCCTGGTTAAGAATGATTGATCTAAAGTTAAAACAAAAACAAAGGCCGGGCGCGGTGGCTCACGCCTGTAATCTCAGCACTCTGGGAGGCTGAGAGGAGTGGATTACCTGAGGTCAGGAGTTCAAGACCAGCCTGGCCAACATGGTGAAAGCCTGTCTCTACTAAAAATACAAAAATTAGCCGGGCGTGGTGGCACACACCTGTAATCCCAGCTCCTTGGGAGGCTGAGGCAGGAGAATTGCTCCAACCCAGGAGGCAGAGGTTGCAGTGAGCCGAGATTGCACCACTGCACTTCAGCCTGGGCAACAGAGTGAGGCTCTGAATCAAAAAAACAAGCAAACAAAAAAAAAACCCCACAAAAACACCAGAATATGAAATTGTATACTATTAATAAACCATGCACAAATATTTGCATGTGAAATGTGAGTGGAGGAAATACCAGTGTTTTCCTTACTTATAAAACTTTCTTTAATGTTGTATTGCTTTTATATTTTTTACAAAAGTTTATTGATATACATCTAAGCTTTATTTGCTTCATTAATTTAGTAATTGTGCTTGTGACTAATTCTAATAATTCAATTAACTTTAACAACAAAAAAAATGGAAAATTACCAAATGGCAGGGAATTGTAGTGTTAAATAACTTGTAGCCTCTTATTCTGATTGCTAATTTGGGTCATTTTTGGAAATTCAAAGTACATAGGCCGGGCATGGTGGCTCACGCCTGTAATCCCAGCACTTTGGGAGGCCGAGGCGGGCAGACCACGAGATCAAGAGATCGAGACCATCCTGGCCAACATGGTGAAACCCCGTCTCTACTAAAAATACAAAAATTAGCCGGGCGTGGTGGCGCACACCTGTAGTCCCAGCTACTTGGGAGCCTGAGGCAGGAGAATTGCTTGAATCCGGGAGGCGGAGGTTTCAGTGAGCTGAGATCGCGTCACTGCACTCCAGCCTGCCAATAGAGCGAGACTCCGTCTCAAAAAAAAAAAAAAAGAAAGAAAGAAATTAAAAGTATATATTTGTTTCCACCCAGTACTGGTTCAATTGATCAATTGAACCAGTTCAAGTGATCAATTGATCACTTAGGATTTTTTTTTTTTTTCAAATAGACATGGCTCTCCTCTCACTATGTTGCCCAGGCTGTCAAACTCCTGGACTCAAGCAATCCTCCCACCTTGGCCTCCCAAAGTGCTGGGATTACAGGCATGAGCCATCACATTTGGCCTATTTAGGATTTTTAACACGAGAAACTTACTAAAAGAGACCCTGTTTTGTTTGATGTGGATGTTTCTAGTTTTGTAGTCCCTGAGACAGTGGTATAGCATTCTTAATATGACATCTCTGCACTCATCTCGCATAACTGCCAACAAATTCACTCCTTAGTTTAAAAGGAAAAGATGAAATGAAGAAAGGAGGAAAACCCCTGAATTTTAGAATTGAATGGATTTCAAAAATTTCCTAATGCCTCCCCCTCGTTACCAAGCTATGTGAACTACAGCCTAGAAAATTTAAGTGAATTTTCTAGGCTCTAGTTTAGGAGTGCAGATGTGCTAAAGAACTTGTTGATTTTGTTTCCAGATAATTTACTCACTTATTCAAATACTTTCTTGCATGCCTCCAACATTCCAGAGTAGATGGTGGAGGTAAAGCCATGAATGGGATATTCTTGGGGTTTTCAGCTTAATGTATCTAGAGAATTTATATTTATTAATATCTTCAGTAGCAGCCTAAATGCCTTCAAGCCAGAGTCATTCTTGGACAGTCTTCTGGTGAAGACTAGGCAATGTCAGTAAAAAGTTGAGAAACATAGGCAATCCTTGGCTCAGAGCAGTTCAGATTTCATTACAATGCTGACATGGTCCATTGGCCGCCTGCCTATGCATCTCTGCTGTTTATAATTTTTAGCTCTTGTCAAACACTCTTCTAATTATAGCAGATTTTCCTGAGGTGGTGAAGGCCTTCAGCTTCCATATTCCCAGACATGTAGCCTGAGAATGTTCCCTTCTTTGCTCCACTAAACCCTGCCATACTTCAAAATCTTTCACCTTCACGATTAACCTAATGCACTAGTTATTCCCTTCCAGCTACGACTGTTGAAATTTTGCACAGTACAGGAGTCGCCAATGGATTTCCAATCTACCAGCAGTTCTCCAAGCTGGTTGATAATAGCATTGCTCAAACACATACCTTTTGCTTTCCTTTGATGCCACAGTCCTCACTCAGGTGCTCAACATCTCTCATCAAGAAGACTGTAATTGCCTGCCAGTGGGTCTCTCTGTCTGCAGTATTTCCACCAGATGCAGTCAATACCACCAGATGGCTCTTCCTATAATCAGCACTGATCCTGTCACCCTTCTATTTGAATGGTTGACCCTGTGTCTGATTTTTCAAGCCAGCTTGAGATGCCCCACCACCACTCACCCTCCAACAAACAAGCAAACTCAGACTTGGTCTCATCCTAGACCTCTTCTGCCGCCTCTTACCACCCTTACCAGAATTCCAACTCCTCACTTCATTTCTCATTTTACATTTCTACATTTGTTCCCCTGGACCCAGCTTCATGCTTATCTCCTCCCTCAAGAGCTAGATTCTGAACTGTCATTTCTTTCCTTTGCTTCATACTGTCACTAACCAAGCAGACTGCCCCAGCCAGCTCCTCAGAATTATAACCCTGGCCAGACCCATCACTTCAGTTCTATAGATCACATTCCGGCCAGGAAGATCCCAAAATGCTGACCACAACACATAAGAGCTTTTACAATCTTGCCCTCTGCTATGGTTTGAATGTGTCCCCCAAAATTCATGTGTTGGAAACTTGATCCCCAGTGCAACAGTTTTGAGAGGTGGGACCTTAAGAACTGACCAGGTCATGAGGGCTCTGACATCATGAATGGACTAATGTCATTATTTTGAGTATGGGTTCATAATTGCAGGATTGGGCTCATTATCACAGGAGTGGATTTATTGTAAAAGCAAGCTTGACCCTCTCTTGGTTCTCACTCTTATGTGCTCTCTTGCCCTTCCACTTTATGCCATGAGATGATGCAGCATGAACGCCTTCACCAGATGCCACTGCTGTGCTCTTGAGCTTCCCAGCCTCCAGAATCAGGAGCCAGATAAACCTCTTTTCTTATAAATTACCCAGTCTCAGGGATTCTGTTACACAGCAGAAAATAAACTAAGACACCTCCAGACTACAAACAGCAGACTGGGAGCCCATAAACCACATTTGATTGGTAGGCCTGTTTGGTTTGACCCCTGCAGTAGGGTGGAATTGAGCCAACATGGAAAAACCAGATTTTCTATGGAAGTCTGAATTCCTATTGTCCCTTGACAACAATTCACCGGGGTTTTAGGCATCCAGGAGCTCTCTGGCCACCCTGGCCCCAACGTGTTTCATTCACCTACATTGTCTGGCCCTGTTGACATGTAGTTTGCAACACTGGGTTCCAGGCCTCATCTTTCAACAATGTCCACACACACCCAAATGTCCTGCCACACATCTGGGAATTCCTGAATTGGTCTTCCATTTTCACACAGCTCTTTGCACCTTGGCTTATGCAAATGTCTAACATAAGAAAACATGCTCAACCTTGTTAGGAACTAAGTTACTAAAGTTAAAACCCTAAGGTAGCCTCTCTTTTTGTGTTTGTTTATTAGAGACAATGTCTCTGCTCTATTGCGCAGGCTGGATTTGAACTCCTGGTTTCAAGGGATCATCCCATGTCACCCTCCTGAGTGGCTAGGATTACAGACATGTACCACTGCACCTAGTAATTCCTCTTTTTATACTTATCAAGCTCGCAAAGATTTAGAAAATAATAATGCCCCATAGTGGAAAAGGTAGAGTGAAATGGAGCCCTCAAACCCGCAAGTGGGAGTATAAATTGGTACAATTTTTGGAAGAGCAATATGACATTCTGGATTAAAAGCCTTAAAAATGTGCATATCGCCAGGCGTGGTGGCTCACGCCTGTAATCCCAGCACTTTGTGAGGCTGAGGCAAGGTGGATCACCTGAGGTCGGGAGTTTGAGACCAGCCTGACCAACATGGAGAAACCCCGTCTCTACTAAAAATACAAAATTAGCCAGGCGTAGTGGCGCATGCCTGTAATCCCAGCTACTCAGGAGACTGAGGCAGGAGAATCACTTGAACCCGGGAGGCAGAGATTGCAGTGAGCCGAGATCGTGCCACTGCACTCCAGCCTGGGCAACAAGAGTGAAACTCCATCTCAAAAAAAAAAAAAAAAAAAAAGTGCATACCATTTGACTCAGCATTTCAATCTATTGGAATCTGTCTCAAGGAAGTTATTTATAAATTATTATTTGAGGCAGAGGAGAGATTCTGAAACCTAAGCAAGTTCTCGAACCTAAGCAGGATTCAAGTGCCTGCTCTGTCAATTACTAACTGTGAGACCACTGACAGGTTATCTAATCTCTCTGTTCCTCAGTTTCCCTATCTCAAAATTAGAGTAAAAGCAGCATGTTTACCATGTGAACTTATTGTGAAGTACATAATATACTTAAAACCCTCTGAATGGCGCTCGGTACATAGTGCTGTTAAAGTATCTATCATCATTAATTATCAATTTTATTAACAAAACAACTGATTACCAATAAGACCCCCCAAATGTCTGTAAGTTAGGGCTTTTCTAAATAAATTATATTGCATTCAAATGATAGCACTCTACAGAGCTATTAAAAATTATGGTGACAAACTCTTCATGACATGGAAAGCCATGACATACTGTTAGGTGAGGTGAAATGGTCTGGATCTGTGTCCCTGCGCAAATCTCATGTTGAATTGTAATCCTCAGCGTTGGAGCTGGGGTCTGGGTGGGAGGTGATTGGATCGTGGGGGCGTTTTCCAGTGGTTTAGCACCGTCCTCCTAGCGCTGTCTCGTGATAGAATTCTCGTGAGATCTGGCTGTTTAAAAGTGTGTGGCATCTCCCCGTTCTGCTCTTCCTCCTGCTCCAGCCATGTGAGATGCTTGCTCCCTTTTTGCCTTCCACAATGTTTGAAAGTTTCCTGAGGATTCCCCAGATGCTGAGCAGATGCCAGGATTTTGCTTGCTGTACAGCCTGTGGAACTGTGAGGCAATTAAGCCTCTTCTCTTTATAAAATACCCAGTCTCGGCAGATCACCTGAGGTCAAGAGTTCAAAACCAGCCCGGCCAACATGGTGAAACCCCGTCTCTACTAAAAATACAAAAAATTAGCTGGGTGTGGTGGTGCACCCCTGTAATCCCAGCTATTTGGGAGGCTGAGGCAGGAGAATCGCTTGAACCCGGAAGGCGGTGGTTGCAGTGAGCCGAGGTCACGCCATTGCACTCCAGCCTGGGTGACAGAGTGAGACTCTGTCTCAAAAAAATAAATAATAAAAATAAATAATAAATAAATTACCTAGTCTCAGGTATTTCTTTATTGCAATGGGAATGGACTAATACATGAGGAGAGCTGGTTATAAAAACCAGTAAAGACATGTAAAACTATGCTTTTATATAAAAAACATATACTGAACTATTATCTCTGAGTATTGAGTTTAGTGATGATTTTTATTTTAGTCTTTATCGTTTTCTGCATTTTATTTTTAAAATGTTACTTTTATGACCACTGCTGGGCAGGTGGCGATTTTAAAAATTTCTCAACCACTATTAAATTTCTTTAATGGAAATTTCCATTAAATTTCTTTAATGGAAATTTCCATTAAATTTCTTTAATGGAAGTTAAAGGTACATTCTCAAAATTAACTAGAAAAAACTCATTTTTAAAAGAGATCCCAATAAATATCTTGCTTTATCATATGTTTCTGCTAAACAAGGATATATTTTGATTTGTTGTGGCAGGCTGCAAAAGATGGTCACAAATGTGTCTGTCTCACTGCTATATGCAGTCATTGTTCAGTATGACTTTGCAGCTTTTCCATTAAGAGGGGGAAAATGTTTCTCTACCTCTTGGATCTAGTTTTGGCCATGTGACTTGCTTTTGGCCAATGGGACATTAGCAAACCTGACAAGAAGGAGCCTCACTCTGTCACCCAGGCTGGAGTGCAATAGCGTGATCTTGGCTCACTGCAACCTCTGCCTCCTGGGTTCAAGCGATTCTCCTGCCTCAGCCTCCCGAGTAGTCGGGATTACAGGCATGCACCACCACACCCGGCTAATTTTTGTATTTTTAGTAGAGACAGGGTTTCGCCAAGTTGGCCAGGCTGGTCTCAAACTCCTGACCTCAGGTGATCTGCTTGCCTTGGCCTCCCAAAGTGCTAGGATTACAGGCGTGAGCCACCGCACCTGGCCAAAGACTTAAAAAACATTTGTTGACCAGGGCTTGTCCTCTCCTTGAGGCCATCAAGTGAAGCAGCTGAGGCAAGCCCATCAGAGAAGGAGAGATCATTGGGGAGAACGCCAGGTCAGGTGAGTGATACCATCCGAGACCATCTAGCCCTAGTGGAGCTGGCCTTGATCAGAAGAACTCAAAGAATCACAAAAAAACTTTTTTCAAGCCACCAAGTTTAGGAAGTTCTTTTTTTCCCAGGAAAATCTTAACTGATTTTTTTTTCTTTTACAAAGTAGATAGCAGGTGCAAATGGTAGGGAATAAATGAGGGCCAAGTCAACAAACTAGTAAATTCCATTCTTCGGTTTTTATCCCTGACGCTAGCTTTCATGTGTACCAGCGTTTCCTCACTGTGGCTGCCATTTTAGAATCATCTATGGAACTTTTTAAAAGTACCAATGACAGGGCCCCATCTCCCAGGCATTTTGAATACCTGGGTGGAGGTGGGGCCCAGACATTGGTATTTTTTTAAAATATCCTAGATGGTCAGGTGCAGTGGCTCACGCTTGTAATCCCAGCACTTTGGGAGGCCAAGGCAGATGAATCGCCTGAGCCCAGGAGTTCAAGACCAGCCTGGGCAACATGATGAAATTCTGTCTCTACAAAGAAAAAAAAAAAAAAGCCAGGCGTGGTACTGTGCGTCCCAGCTACTTGAGAGGCTGAGGTAGGGGGATGGCTTGAGCCTGGGAGGCAGAGGTTGCAGTGAGCCAAGATTTTGCCACTGCACTCCAGCCTGGGTGGCAGAGTGAGACTCTGTCTCAAAAAAAAAAAAAAAAAAAAAAAAATTCCTACATGAAAGCAATATGTGGTTAAGGTTGAGAACACCTGTTTTTTGTTTTTTGTTTTAAAGAGATAGGATCTCACTCTGTCTCCCAGGCTGGAGCACATGGCGCAATCATGGATCACTGCAGCCTTCACCTCCTAAGCTCAAGTGATCCTCCCACCTCAGCATCCCAAGTAGCTGGGACCACAGGTATGCACCACCATGCCCAGCTAATTTTTAAATTTTTTTATAGAGACAGGGTCTTGCTATGTTGCCTGGGCTAGGAATACCTGTTCTTCATAGAAGTCTTTTATTGAACATCTTTTTTATAAAGATAATACATTTTTCTTTCTTTTTCTTTTTCTTTTTTTTGAGACAAGGTCTCACTCTGTCACCCAGGCTGAACTGCAGTGGTGCAATCACAGGTCACCACAGCCTCAACCTCCCCAGACTCAAGTGATCCCACCTCAGCCTCCCAAGTAGCTGGGACTAGCTGGATGTGCCACCGTGCCTGGCTAATTTTTGTATTTTTCGTAGAAATGGGGTTTCACCATGTTGCCCAGGCTGGTCTCAAACTCCTGGGTTTGAGACACCCACCTGCCTTGGCCTCTCAAAGTGCTGGAATTACAAGCGTGAGCCAGCACACCTGGCCCAGAGATAATACTTCATAGTATTATCTATAGCACTAAAGCACCAAGTATTATGTCTCAGTAAGGAGAGAGTTTATTTTTCACCAAATACAGCAACTTTCTTTAAGTCTTGGAGATTTTCAAAGTACAGAAAAGTTCAAAGAAGTAGCCAATTGTTTATTTTCCAACTCCCTCAAATTAGCTAGTGTTAGCATTTTGGCATATTTACCTTGTGAGTCTTTACTTATTTTCTCTTAAAACTATTATTCTGTAACTTCTGCCAAATAGGACAGTGGTTATTAGAATAATTTCAAATAATACATTAAAGTACAAAAAACAAAGATCAAATAAAAAAACACATTATGAAATCTAATACCTACAAGTAACAATCATTAAGAAAGCATAGGCTGGGCGCGGTGGCTCACGTCTGTAATCCCAGCACTTTGGGAGGCCGAAGCGGGCGGATCACATGAGGTCAGGAGATCGAGACCATGCTGGCCAACATTGTGAAACCTCATCTCTACTAAAATACAAAAAAATTAGCCGGGCGTGGTGGCGTGCGCCTGTAATCCCAGCTACATGGGAGGCTGAGGCAAGAGAATCGTTTGAACCGGGGCGGCGGAGGTTGCAGTGAGCCAAGATTGCACCACTGCACTCCAGCCTGGTGATAGAGCAAGACTCCATCTCAAAACAAACAAACAAACAAACAAACAACAAACCAAAAAACAAACAAGCAAACAAAAACCTTAAGATAGCATTATTAAAAAAAAAAAAAAAAAAAAAAGACTGTCAGGCACAGTGGCTCACACCTGTAATCCCAGCACTTTGGGAAGCTGAGGCAGGTGGATCACTTGACACCAGGAGTTCAAGACCAGCCTGGCCAACATGGTGAAACCCCGTCTCTACTAAAATACAAAAATTAGCTAGGTGTGGTGGCAGGCGCCTGCAGTCCCAGCTACTCAGGAGGCTGAGGCACAACGATCACTTGAACCCAGGAGGCGGAGGTTGCAGTGAGCTGAGATTGCACCACTGCACTCCAGCCTGGGCAACAGAGAGAGACTCTGTCTCAAAAAAATAAAAAAAGACTGTGGCTTATGTCTTTCCCTCCCCTGTCTGCATCTGGACTGACACGGGTGCTTCCCACCGTGGCGCTGTGTGGTGCGCAGTGCCTCTTGTTTCTAGGGCAACTGTGAATAACATTAAAGTTTTCTTCCAATGGCAGAAAAAAAGGGAAGAAAATACCATTTCATAAAACATCTTCCAGACAAAGAAATACTTCCATGTGAGCTTATGACAATAACGTAACTATTAAATAGCTGACTAACCTACATTGAACATAGATTGAAAACAACCTTTTACAAGGGACCTGTACCATTGAGATGTATGAGGTTTCCTTACATTAAATGAGGTGAGGCGTCACTCATGTACACGTTTATCACTTTGATGGGTTTTTGAGTTCAAAAACTGCCTCTTTAGGACTTAAGTTTTATTGGATTCCAGAAATGAGAGATTCTGTTGTTTGCAGCACTTGAACATCAAGTAATAAGCTTTTTCTGCCATCTATTTATTCAGATGTGTTTGTTCACAGCTTGACCTAGGTATTTTGCATTTCAGGTGGCATTTCCTAGGTTTTACTGACTCTTTCAAATAAAAGTACAGCATTGATTTGCCTCTCACAGCAGGGTCGTCTCTCTGTCTGAAATCAATAGAACACAGTTTGCCCTGAACTGTTTTGTTTGTAACCGGGGGAAAAGTTCTTAATGACTCCACCAGACAAATTTTCATCTTGCCCTGCACACAGTGCCTTCTTCACCTTCAAAACAAGGCACCAGGCTGCACCCAGCTAGATATAAATGCAGAATTCATTCACAACTTGTAAAACCTTCCCTCCAATTCCATGTACGAGCAGCCAAGTAAGAAATTATGCTCACTTACGACTCTTGTTTAATTTTAACCCCTATTTGCAAACCGAGACAGGTCAAAAGTTGTTTAAGGTCAATGGTAAATTCCATTTGTTGCTGCATGTACTACAGTATATATAGATTGCTAAGTCTGGGAACTAAGTCCCTATCTATTGCAAGCCTAATGTTTTATAAAGAACAGCAGGGCAGTTCTGTTTACAGTCTTATTCTACAAATAACCTAGGCCTGGCACTTCTTCCTGAAATACCCATTTAACCTGGACATTTGGATGAAAAGCCCTGGGCTTCCGTTAGAAGTTACACAGCGACACAAAAACACACACATAATTAATGCAGTCAGGACCACTGTTAATCTTGGACGTGTCTGGGAAGGAGCCCTTGTGGGGTAGGGGGTCCTAGGAGTACCAGGAACATGGTTTCTTGAGCTGTGCATACAGGTAAGAGCAATGTAAAACTTCAGTGATCTGTTCAATTCTGGTATGTGCAATTTTCTGTATATAGGATTATATTGCAATAAAAAGTTTACAAAAGTTATAGAGTAGACAGAAATGTAATATTTAAATAACTTTGTAAAATAAAGCAATGAGACTGCAAAGAAATGTTGGCCTCTTCAGTGGTTTGCCCTCGTACCCTCTCCTCTGCCTAGGGCTGATTTAGGGACTGCAGTGGCAGTTTCCAGTATCCAGTTTTCCGGCATCAAGGGCTTTAGTGTTTTTTTTGTTTTTTTTTTTTTTTTTCTTGAGATGGAGTCTCGCTCTGTTGCCCAGGCTGGAGTGCAGTGGCATGATCTCAGCTCACTGCAAGCTCCGCCTCTCGGGTTCACGCCATTCTCCTGCCTCAGCCTCCTGAGTAGCTGGGACTACAGGCACCCGCCACCACGCCCGGCTAATTTTTGTATTTTTAGTAGAGACGGGGGTTTCATCATCTTGGCCAGGCTGGTCTTGAATTCCTGACCTTGTGATCCACCTGCCTCAGCCTTCCAAAGTGCTGAGATTACAGGCGTGAGCCACTGCGCCTGGCCAAGGGCTTTACTTTTAAATACTTGAATATTTTAGAAACAGAATTATGGACATCTTCAGATCAAGACCAATGACTAATATATTCAATTTATAGGAAAAAATAAACCATTGAGCCATCTGCAAACCTAAGCAGAGTTTTTCCTGTAAGAATTCTGATAAGAAACCATACTGGGGCGTTGTGGCATGCTCACCATGATGCTCTTGTATGATCTGATTGATTGATGGCAACTTTTATGAGTCTGTCACATGTGTTTTCAGAATAAAAGTGGGACACACTTTTGGTTGTTCTTGTTCTTCCAATTAAGTTCACGGTGTTTCTACTATTCATTCTGAATCACTGATATTGAAAAATCAAAGGTAATAAAAGTACAAGTTTAATTACATAATTAAATGCTGTACTTACTTTTAGTTTATTGCCCCAAATGAATAATATTACTAAGAATAGCCCTACTTTTTCAAAAAAATAACGGGCCCAGCTGCTTCTGTTATTTATGGGCAAAACAAATAACATGGAAAAAGAAAAGCAGGGCAAAAGGAACCAATACTCAATAGATATTAAAACTACCAGAGGGCTGGGAGCGGTGGTTCATGCCTGTAATCCCAGCACTTAGGGAGGCCAAGGCAGGTGAATTGCTTGGGTCCAGGAGTTCAAGACCAGCCTGGGCAAAATGGCGAAACCCCATCTCTACAAAAAATACAAAAAATTTGCTGGGTGTGGTGGCATGCGCCTGTAGTCCCACGTACTCAAGAGGCTGAGGTGGGAGGATTGCTTAAGCCTGGGAGGTGGAGGCTGCAATAAGCCAAGATTGCACCACTGCAATAAGCCAAGATCGCATCACTGCACTCCAGCCTGGGCAACAGAATGAGATGCTGTCTCTAAATAAATAAATAAATAAATAAAAATAAAACTGCCTGAGGATCTAAGAGAGACCCTCACGAGCACCTTGTAACATACAAAAGGCATTCATTAATAGAAAAGAAAGAAGAAGCAGCAGCGCTTTCTCAGCCCTCAATGGCTACATACGCTATGATAAAAATATGACTTTCCGGAAAAGGCAAGCAGCAGGGATGGAGAACAGGTCAGGATTTGGCAAGGGGACACTGGGGGTAGGGGTTGGCTCCCAGGGGCAGCATGAGGGAATTTTGGGAACTGGCGGAATTGTTCTTGATGGCGGTAGTGGATGCGTGACTCTATACCACTATCAAAACACACGGAACTGCACACTAAAGAGAGTGAACTGTATGTATATAAATTAAAGAATACAAAGAAGCTGCTTCAAAATCAACAACAATGTAAAACAGAACGGATCTCCTTTATGGTAAATGTATACATTTCAAAAACTGTATTATATAGTATACCTATAAGACTTTGATGTAATATTGATATGCACTCTTTTCCCATAAATTCTGAACACTTTTTAAGAATCCTGTCATTGAAACCCAAATTTCAGTATTAGTATAGACACCAAAATATTCATACTGCCCCTTTGCTCAGATATCTATGACATTTCAGAAAGAAATTATAAGAAGCACTAAATATAGAAAGATTATTGTCTTGAAGGACTTAAAAGTCTTATCTTTGTGGCCAGGTTCAGCTGCTAAATCATGCAACACAGACAAATCATTTCGTCTCCCTGTGCCTGGTTTCTCCACTTTAAATGATGAGAGTATCCCTTCCAACCCCAGCACAGGATTACACATTCCACTTCACAAAATCATTCTGTTATTCCTGAAGGAGCCTGAGTTTCTGCTTCTTTCATATCTTCCACTCAAAAAAACTTCATCACCACAACCTTCCTCTTTCTATGTGCCAGGAGTGATGCTCTTGGCTTTAGAATTAATGAGTTATAAGTTATTAAAGAGTTCATAATTCATGGCTCACAGCATGTGCCTTCTCCTCCTTTGCCACCATGAGATTAGCAGTTATTATCATTCCTTGGCTGAGAAAACCCAGTGTGGAGAATTGAAAAGATCTGTCCAAGATCGTAAGCTACAAGAAGCCATGATGTGAGCCCCCTACTCTTGGAGAGAGGGGAAGCTACCGTCTTCATTCTACCATAGCTCTCAATTCTCTGGGGACCACTGGCGGACTCTGAAGGTACATGGCCTCATGTCTAATTCATACGGCACACTGTCTCCTGCTCTTACCTCCGCTGGGATACAATAGATGGAAGCTGATAGGGAGATGGGCAAGATGCCTCTCACTGAAACACCCGGTTTCAGTCTGGTTCAGGTGCTCCCTCATTCTGGTGGAAACAACACCACATATTTTACTGAGGTAGACACAGAGAAGATTCAGGTTATTTGGGAATTGTTAGGTTTTCTCTTTTCAAGAGTCAGTTAACACTGGCCTGGGATTGCTGTTGGCTCCCTGTGTTTCCTAGCGTTGCAGTACGTGGACTGACGCGCCTGTGAACAGCGCACCTGGTACAATCGATCCCACTCACCAATGCCAGATTCTTAGTTACTCTGCTCCTCTCATTCCTTGTGCAGGATGAGCTCTGGTACTATGGGAAGCTGAGGGACGGAGGGAATTCAAGCTGCTTTTGTCTGAGTTTCAGAAAATCTTCCAGACCCTTTGTAATGGCACTTTGGGGGACTGCATTTTTTCTAGCACCTTAACAAGGGGAAATTGTTCATTGCTAATTTTCCCCTTAACGAGGGCAATTGGGTGGAATAAATACAACACTTATTTACACTTACTAGGCACCATGCGCCATTCCAGGCACTTGATATGTATTCATACATTTCATTTGCACAGTGGTAGGTAATGTTAGTATCTCCATTTTACATATACAGAAACTGAGAATCAGAGAGAGAACATAATTAGCCTCACGTCACACACACTAGGAATCTGCAAAGCTGGATTGGAAGCCAAATGATCCGGCTCCAGAGGGCCCCTTCCCTCCCCAGCACTGAATACACTACACTAGCCTTGTCCAGCTCAGCGTCCCTGGGCACATCGAGAAAATACTCTTGGAAACAAGGGGAAATGTGCTACATTAAGAACAATCAGAGAGGTGAAGATATTGTGTAAGTACTTGGTACTCAGTTTCCTCCTTTGGTCAGAATTTTACAGCACAAAAATCACCCCCACACACTGCCTAGGGTGGCTGGCCTGAGTTCTACATTGTAGCAGTAGTGGTGGTTGGCATCCAGATGTGGACACAGTGACCGTGACAAAGAGAGAAATTCAATGCCCAGAGGCCATTGTTTCATTAATCCTACTGTCCACGGTGTAATATAAATAGGAATGTCATGACATTAATATACCGTGGAGAGGGAGAAGGGGGAGAGATGGAGGTGATAACTGAATTAACAATGGCTGAGAGGGGAGATATACCCCCATAGTCTGTAACTCTCACAACAATCTCATGAAATTGGTATTGTCCTCAATTTACAGATAAGTCACCGGAAGCCCATGTTAAGATACGTTAATTGCTCAAGATCTGACAGCAGGGAAACAAAACCTAAGTCTGCCTGCCTCAAATACTTCTGCTTTTTTCACTGCATGCTCCAGAGTTAAAGCAAAATAATACAGGAATCTCTTCGGAGATGACCTAGCCCAATTTCCTCATTTTACACATGAGGAAACTGAGGCCCAGAGAGGTTAAGTGACATGCCCAAGGCCAAACAGTTATCTACAGACAAAGGTTAAAATTTAGAACAGAATTGTATAGTGTGGGTATCTAAGTCACTAGCCTCTCTTACACAGTACTCGAAAGCACTTTTTTAAAAAAAGAAAATTAAACATTCACGCATGGCTCATAATCCTTACTTTCCATTTGCTTAGTATTCTACTGTTTTTAACTGTGCAGTGTGAAGTGTTTAAAAAGTCAAAGTTCATGAGCTACTGTTCCAATCCTTAGTGTCTTCTGGGGTCATCAACACTCACATCCTGGCCAGGCGTGGTGGCTCACGCCTATAATCCCAGCACTCTGGGAGGACAAGGTGAGAGGATTGCTTGAGCCCAGGAGTTCAAGACCAGCCTGGGCAACAGAGTGAGACCCCATCTCTAACAAAAAAAGCAAAACAACAACAACAACAAAAACCCTCATAGCCTTGGAGACACCCAGAGATTCTTCTAGCCCTTTTACAAATATCTTTGAAAAGAAATGTTAGCAAGTCGTAGTCACTGCTATAAGACTGTCTCCAGACCAATTCCAGATATATTTTATGGGGTGGAAGTTGAATTAAGACAATTCCTGGCCGGGCGTGGTGGCTAGTACCTATAATCCCAGCACTCTGGGGGGCTGAGGCAAGCAGATTGCTTGAGCTCGGGAGTTTGACACCAGCCTGGGCAACATGGCAAAACCGTCTCTACTAAAAATACAAAAAATTCGCCTGGCATGGTAGGGCACACCTGTAGTCCCAGCTACTCGGAAGGCTGAGGCACGAGAATTGCTTGAGCCCAGGAGGCAGAGGTTGCAGTGAGCCGAGATCATGCCACTGCACTCCAGCCTGGGTGATAGAGTAAGATCGTGTCTCAAAAAAAAAAAAAAAAAAAAGGCAATTCCTACTTTCTAATAAATTCTCAAACACCTTAAAAACTTTCTTTAATGTCCTAAAACCAAAATTAACTGAGGCTCAGTTTGGTTAAATAACTTGTTCAGTGACTGACAAGCTGTTAAGTAGTGAGGCCTAGGATTCAAAAGATCTGTCCTATTCCAAAGTTTGTATTCTTTCATCCACATCACGCTGCAAGATCAAAGACCTCATGCAAAGTAACGAGGCTTAATAACTTAATAACTGAGGCATCTCAAATTAAATTACAGATGTGAAAAATTAACAACAATGAATCTCATAGAGAAGCCTCTGTGAGAATACGCAGTAATGGAAAATACATTCAGATTTGGCTGAAGGCAAAATATCATCGTGTCAATTCTATATTCAAACATACTTTGGACTCATTGTCTTTTTTTTTTTTAATAGAGGAAACAGAATATTCAGTCTGGAGAAGAGATGAAAACAAGGGAACTTTAATGGTTAGAGGGATACACAGGAAACAGTGTACCCCACTAACCATACAGTGGGATACCAGTGTACCCCACTAACCAATCTTCTACTCTTAGTACCATACTCCTTCCCATTTTTCCTCCAGAAAAACGGAGGCCAAGAGAATGGAAATCTTTTTTTTTTTTGAGATGGAGTCTCACTCTCTTGCCCAGCCTGGAGTGCAGTGGCGCAATCTCAGCTCACTGCAACCTCCGCCTCCTGGGTTCAAGTGATTCTCCTGCCTCAGCCTCCTGAGTGGCTGGGATTACAGGCATGCACCACCACGCCTGGCTACTTTTTGTATTTTAGTAGAGACGGGGTTTCACCACGTTGGCCAGGCTGGTCTTGAATGCCTGACCTAGTGATCCACCCGCCTAGGCCTCCCAAAGTGCTAGGATTACAGGTGTGAGTCACTGCACCCAGCTGAATGGAAATCTTAACAAACCGCATTCTGCCTCCTACTTTGAATGCCTAAAGAGCTTGTGCTTGTAGATTCAGCTTTGTTGCTGAAAAACAAAGAAAAAGAAAACTCAGTCCGGTTCATGTAGTATAGCCTAAAAGGTGAAGTTGGATAAAAATATTTTTACTTTTCAGTGAACTGTTATTATGGGATGAGGAGAAAGCCTTAGTCTGGAATATCAGAATTTTGCATTTTCTTTGAAAAGAGGAAGCTACTTATTTATGAGAATTATAGTGTCAACTCAAAGATTTGTCATACATTTTCGGTTTTTTTGCTTTGAGTTTGCATAACAAGTTGATGATTGTCGAAACTGGCTGATGGGCATGTGAGGATTACAGTACTGTTCTCTGCACTGTTGTGTGTGTTTATAAGTTTTTCTATTAGAGTTTAAAAATTACTCCTCTGCAAAGAGGATGGGCAAAATTTGTTTTAACACTGAGGAAGCCAAACACTCAAAATGGGAAGATGTGGCCAAGCCAGTCAAAACCTACATAGAATAATTGTGAAAAGGCTCTCATTTTTTTTCAGATCTTGGCTATGTTGATTTCCTTTCCCAAGAAATTATATTATGACATCTTAAGTCCTTTCTGGAACATGGTACGGCTTAAGAAAAGAAAGCAACCCAACCAACCGGCCGGGCAGAGTGGCACGCCTGTAATCCCAGCACTTTGGGAGGCCGAGATGGGCAGATCACGAGGTCAGGAGATCGAGACCATCCTGGCCAACACGATGAAACCCCATCTCTACTAAAAATACAAAAAATTAGCTGGGTGTGGTGGCGGGCACCTATAGTCCCAGCTACTTGGGAGGCTGAGGCAGGAGAATGGCGTGAACCCAGGAGGTAGAGCTTGCAGTGAGCCAAGATCGCGCCACTGCACTCCAGCCTGGGGACAGAGCAAGACTCCGTCTCAAAAAATTAAAAAAAAAGAAAGAAAATAAAGCAACACAATTCCTGCTCCTTTCCTGTGATATGACTGATTTCAAAAATAGATAGCATTGACATCCTTCATGTTTTTAAGGAAACACTCTTCTAATGGATAATACACATTTCATAGTGTTATGTAAGGGGTAAGTGAAGCTTTTTGGTGGTCATAAAAAGTACATCAATAACACTAATGGAAATCAAAATGATCAAGAACAGATATCCCAGTCTGGGCAACATAGTAAAACCCCGACTCGACAAGAAATTAAAAATTAGCAGGGCATGGTGAGGCAGGCTTATAGTTCTAGCTACTGGGGAGGCTGAGGTGGGAGAATTGCTTGAGCCTGGGAAGTCGAGGCTACAGTGAGCCGTGATCACACCACTGCACTCCAGCCTGGGGAACAGAGCAGGGACCTTATCTCAAAAAAAAAAGGAACTGGTATCCACCTGAACATGTCAATTTACTTTACACATTTCCTCCTATCCATCTTTGGGTACATCTACATCTAGTTTTATATGGTTGGTGAGCCATGGCATAGACATCCTTCTATAGTGAGATTTAAATTGCTTTTATTCAACACCTTGAGGATCTCATTAGTGTAGGAACACAAGACCACATGTAGGTTTTTCTTAATAAATGTTCACATTAATAAGTGGATAAACACCTAACCTGTCATTTTACCCCATTTTTAAAATTTAATTCTCAAAACAGCCTTACTAAGTAGCCATCATTATTGTGACTACAAAATGAAGAGTTTTAGGTCAGAGTACACAAGGTCATCAAACTAACGGAGATAAAGCTAAAATTCAATATTGCATTTGTCTCACTCCAGAGCCCATAATATATCCTTAATATGAGTACATCCCAAATATCAGTTATTTGCATACCACTTTCATGAAGTCTGCCATATGCAATCAACACCATAAAGCTTTTCCTTATATCAACTAGTTTTTATTTTTACTGGTGGTTGGAAATGAACAGAATCGGCATTTGCTGCAAATCTATACATGTGCCAGTCTCTGTAAAAGATGGTCCGTGTCAGCAGTTCTCAAAGTGTGGCCCCCAGATGAGAAGCTGCAGGATAACCCAGGAAACTGTTAGAAATGCAAATTCTGGGGACTGCTCCAGACCTGCTGAATCAGAAACTTCGGGGTAGGGCCCAGAAATCTGTGCTTTAACAGGACCTGCAGAAGGTTCTGAGGCATGGCCAAGTCTAGGAACCCCTGTACTATATGCATTAGCTTATTTAATACTCACAACTTCTCTGGGAACTAAGTACTATTTATTATCTCCATCATCACAGATGAGTAAACTAAGGCTCAGTGTAAACTAACACCAGTGTCACACAGTTGGCAAGTATTGGGAGGACAGACTTACACTACGTCTGTCTCCAAAGTCGTTTACCTGATAGCATGTGGGCTCAAACAAAGGAGGATGGAAGGAGATGCTTTTGTATTGTGTAAAGAGAAATAGGGAAGAGATATGTATTTTCAAGAGATAATTTAGACGTCGAGTATATATTGATCATTGTACTATGGACATTGATATATACATATATCAATTATATATAGCTTTGATATACCACTAATATTTTATTGTTTTTAGAAGCCATCAAAATGCAATACTTCATTTAAAACAAAGACAACTGTCTAGGTGCAATGGCTCACACCTGTAATCTCAGCACTTGTAGGAGGCTGAGGAGAGAATCAATTGAGCCCTGGAGTTTGAGACCAGCCTGGGCAACATATCGAGATCCCATCTCTACACAAAATTTAAAAATGAGCCAGGTGTAGTGGTGCATACCTGTAGTCCTTGCTACTTGGCAGCCTGAGGCAGGAGGATTACTTGAGCCCAGAAGGCTGAGGCTGCAGTGAGCTAAATTAATGCCACTGCACTCCAGTCTAGGTGACAGAGGGAGACCCTATCTCAAAACAAAACAAAGACAAAAACAACTCCTGCTTCTAGAAAAAACTGTCTTATACAATCGATAAGGAATGACAGGAGGATGAATGAGTTGGAGAAATGATCTTGCCGGTTCTAAAGCAGTAGAAAGAATGCTCATCCTTTCCGCTAGAATTAAATTCATGTTCAGTTCAGCTTAGTAGATGTTTACCAATCATGATTGTACTTATACTTAATTCAATATTCACTTTATATATACTTTATACTAATATATACTTTAATCCAATTTGTCTTGTTTTATAAAATGTTGTTCTAGAGATTAGGAATTAACAGCTAATTAAGGCTGGGCGTGGTGGCTCACGCCTGTAATCCCAACACTTTGGGACCCTGAGGTGGGTGGATCACGAGGTCAAGAGATCGAGACCACCTTGGCCAACATGGTGAAACCCCATCTCTACTAAAAATATGAAAAAATTAGCTGGGCATGGTGGCACACACCTGTAGTCCCAGCTACTTGGGAGGCTGAGGCAGGAGAATTGCTTGAACCTGGGAGGCAGAGGTTGTGTGAGCCGAGACCACACCACTGCACTCCATCCTGGCGACAGAGTGGTACTCTGTCTCAAATAAATAAACAAACAAACAAACAAACAAATAAAAATAAAAGAGCTCATTAAGAGTAGCGTTTCCCAATTATTTCCTTTTTAGGGGTGGCGAACAGAAATGTTAGGGTACAGATTCTCCAATGAAGGAGATGATCCTTCCCAAATAGTACAATGGAGCCAGTGGCTGGAAACGTCACAAATGATTCTACAAATGGCTATAGCGTCAGCATAATTTACTGTGTAAATACTTTATAACCTGCCTAAGGTTTCTCTACCAGGAGCCCAGCATCTTATGATGTAGACCCATCAATCTAGGTGCTCACAAGAGCTGGGATACATTGTAAATTAAAATCTTCCCCTGTGATCCTACCTGAATTACTGACCTGGGAAGAGCCTAGAGCCCTTTACTGAAGAGGTTAAATAAGCCAGACTGGTCCACATCACTAACGCAATATTTTGAAAATCATGTTCTCATTTATTATGCATACTTAATATCATCTGGCTATCCAAAAATATTATTTTAAGAGTCTGTTCAATGGATACGAACCTATGGAAGTATCTGTTTTGTGGAATTTCTCCTTCAGCCAGAATTTATCTCCATATTGACAAGACAAATGTCAGTGTGGATTGTCCTCCAGCCCCCCCAAGTAGCGTTATTTTAGACTCGAACGTCCTGGTGACGTTTGTTAAGACATGATTCTACCCCATCATTCAACGTTTGTAATTAATTCTCAGTCACGGGTCCAATCAGCATGAGTGAATGAATCCTTTGTGGTCCTAGAAACTGAATTCAAAGTCTGGGCTGATGTAGAGAGAACACAATGCATACTTTGAAAAAGACTGGGACTGATTCAGCCACACCCAGACGTAAGGTCCCAGTGACCTTCCTGCAGAGAACATATACCTTCTAAATAGCTCAGTGTTTACAGTTGTTGAGAGCTGGAGAGACGTTTTGAGTTTCTTTCTATTGTTGTCTCTTCTTAGCCTCTCATATTCTTATAGTCTTGGTTTTTTTCCTAAGCCAACAATTCAGGAGAAGTCTACATTAAATTAAGTGAGAAGAAGCCCAGTGCATGAATGTGAGTAGCCCGGGAGTGGTACTAGCAGGAGGAGGGAGTGGGTGGCAGGTGTGGAAGAAACTCACACCAGGTGCAAGGAAGGCAGAAACTAAGTGGAGGCGTCTGCATACGCCGCCTGCTGTGACTTTCTCTTGGCATCAGAATCCGACTGCATCATGGGCCCAGGTTGGCTGTGTGGGAGCCACATTTTCTAAGGAAAGACTCTATCCCATTAACATTTTATCTGGAATAAAGTGGGGCTCGCTAATTCTTTCAGGACTCTCTCATATTTACTGATATCATTTGTTGGCCTGGCCATTGTGGAGTTTTACCTACTGTTTCTCCAATCCCTACTACCAAAAATTATCCCCCATCCTAGGTACAGGGTACACTTTCATAGGTTCTGCCCATCTTCTCAGAACTCTCCAGCACATTCCTGCCCCTCCCGACCCTTCCACATCCATCTAGCACCCTGCATATCATCAGATCAGGCAGGTGCATAGTGATGCATGCAGCGTAGGAGTAGTGGTGGAGAACACAAAGACAGATGTCACTTTTCTTATGCTTAAGGAGCTCAAATACTGAGGAGGTCTGGTAGAAGAGCTATTCAGTTAATAGGTGACTACAATTCAATGCTGGCAGCAGTGGCATTAGGTCCAGGAGAACCCAGAGTTGAAACACGATCTGGGAGGAAGGTGATCAGACATGGCATCCAGAGGAAGTGACTTCCAAGGTGGGCCATATAGGATGAAGAGTTAGACAGAGTTAGACATAAAGGATGAAGAGTTAGACAGGAAGGGCATCAAACACGAAGGACATTCTTTATGAGAGGATGTCATTAAAAAGCCATAAAAAGATAGGTCAAAATTAGGCCGGGCGCGGTGGCTCATGCCTGTAATCCCAGCACTTTGGGAGGCCGAGGCGGGCAGATCATGAGGTCAGGAGATCGAGACCATCTTGGTCAACATGGTGAAACCATGTCTCTACTAAAAATACAAAAATTAGCCGGGCTTGGTGGTGGGCACCTGTAATCCCATGTACTCGGGAGGCTGAGGCAGGAGAATCGCTTGAACCTGAGAGGCGGAGGTTGCAGTGAGCTGAGATCGCGCCACTGCACTTCAGCCTGGCGACAGAGCAAGACTCCATCTCAAAAAAAAAAAAATAGGTGAAAATTGCAGAAGTGTGGGGCCAAGTAGTTGCTGGAACATAAAGTATGAGGCATCAAATAAAGAGAAATGAGGGTAGAGACAGAGGGTGTGGGGGGCCAGGTCCTGGAAGTCATGCCACATGAAGAGCTTAAGCCTAGCATTTTTTTTTTTTTTTTGAGACAGAGTCTCACTCTGTCACCCAGGCTGGAGTGCAGTGGTGCAGTCATGCTCACTGCAGCCTTGATTTTTCAGGCTTAAGCAATCCTCCTTCCTCAGCCTCCTGAGTAACTGGGACTACAGGCATGCACCACTATGCCCAGCTAATTTTTAAATTTTTTGTAGAGACAGGGATCTCACTATGTTGCCCAGGCTGGACTGAAACTCCTGACCTCAAGCAATCCTCCTGCCTTGGCCTCCCAAAGTATTGGAATTATGGGTGGGAGCCACCTTGCCCGGCCAAGCCTTAAGGGTCCCTTAAGATCAGGAGAAGCCATTATAAAGCCTGGAGCAAGGGAATAGTAGGTGTTCTATCAGCAAGAGTTCTGCACTTCATCGCGGTTGGATGCTGTGGGGCAAAGGTCCCTGGTAACTTTGGTCCAGAAAATTCCTTGTACCTAGCTTTAAAAATACTACAAAGTAATGAAAAAAGAGCTTCTTAAATGTCTGCATATGATGTATTTAAATAAAAGACACATTTTGCTGTATTTTGTTTCTCACAGACAATATGGCACCTAAAATAAGGACCATTTTTCCTTTTCTGAGTATATCTGTAGTGAACTTAAAGTCCATATGTAATGTTCTCCACGTTTAATCAGTTTTATTACCTATAAACATAATAAAGTACCTCTGGAAAGATGTACAAGGAAGTATTAACATTGGTAGCTGATGGAGTGAAAACTTTAAAAATTTGGGACCTTTCAAATCTGCCTGGTTGCTTCTTACTCCCCAGCTTCTCTGAGAACATGAACCAAGGGCCACTTCCCATTGCCACTGGCCCAGACCAAAGCCTGCTCCAGATGGACCCCGGAGACAGCACAGAAGCCTTTGAGGGATGGTGGATCCTTTCCAGAAAGGACACCTGGTGACTCTCATGAGCACAGTGACCCTGACAAGCCTCACATAGTTGCTGTCTACACAGACACGCACACACCCACACCACACATACACCCACACCACACACTACAAACACACACCACACTACAAACACACACTAGAAACACACCACACACTACACACACACTACAAACACACCACACTACAAACACACCACACACTACACACCACACACACTAGAAACACACACACCCCACACATGTACATACACACCACACACACACCAGATACATACACTGCAAACACACACACCACACACACCATACACACATGACGCACATACACCACACACACACCACACGCACACACACCCACACCACATAACCACACCACACATACACACACACCACACACACACTACACACACACCACACTACAAACACGCCACACACTACACACACACCACACACACACCATACACATACCACGCACATACACCACATATACACACCACACACACACCCACACCACACAACCACACCATACATACACACACACCACACACACTACAAACACACACACCGCACTACAAACACACCACACACTACACACACACCACACAACACACACGCTACAAACACACATACCCCACACACATACACATACACACCACACACACACCACACACATACACTGCAAACACACATACACCACACACACACACACACACACACATCACACACACACTACAAACACACCACACACACACCACACAAGCATATTGGGACACCACACACACACACACCATATCCCTGCTAACCTCATCTCCAGCTCTAAGTGATCAGGTGAAACTTCCTTCCACAGCCCTCCTCATTTTTTCCAAACACCCTCAATCCTTTCCCTTTTTCGGGATTCTGCAGGAAATTTGCTTTAGATATACAGGAAAAAAGAAATGCTCATTCCTTCTTTTCCTAGTGCAAGAGAAACGGCTCACACTTCAGGCCACACAAATGCAGGGTCAGATTCCAGCTTTGCCTATGAAAAGCTATGTGAACAACGTGAACATACTATTGCTTCAGTCTCTCTAAGCCTCATGTTTTTCATCTGTACGTGAGGCTAACACGATGACTTCCTATCATTAAAAGGAACGATGTAGGCTATCACCAACTATACCAACAAAAATAAGATTAAATGCCACGCATGCAGTATTTACATGCGTTTAAAATAGGTGATTGTAAAGAAAGGGTTAACGCTCTCACCACTGTGATAAATGTTGGTTCACCACCCCTCCTACAAGTCTTTGTGACCTGACAGTTTAGCATCTCTGAAAATAAATTGCGCATGAGACAGCATAATTCTCTCGTCTCCAGCCACCTTGCCCATCCTCTTTCTGTCCCTCTCTAAGTAGATTTTTGTGACCACCACTCTAGTTTAGCTCTTAGGAATGCCGTGTTATTGGGGACCTTTCTGCATTGAGTCTACTTTCAGGCAAGAGGTGGCTTCAAACAGCACTTGAAAGTATGCCAATGATAATGACACTAGACATAAGAGCTGGGAGTTATTTCAAGAATGGCAGGCAGGTGTGTATGTATGTGTGGTGTGGTTGTGCAGTGTGTGTGTGTAGACAGGAAGTATGTGAGGCTTGTCGGGGTCACTGTGCTCATGAGAACCACCAGTCACCCACAACCATGCTGGGTCACTGTTGAAAACAAGCACGTGGGGACACACAGGAAAGACGTAACGCAGGTCACAGACCACCTATGGGAAACAGAGTTTAGAAAAGAAACCCAGTCCTGAACCAACGAGGGAGCTTGGTGCTATCTTCTGCCTCAGCTGCCTGGCATACCTTGGACGCTTTCCCAAATTATCATAAACAACCAAAGACTGCACAGTATATAAAAACAAGAAGCTGCAAATTGGAATGTCCAATAAAAACCTATGACTTAAAAATTGAGAATTCTCTTTGGATCATCTGTAGCTAGATTCTCTCTCCGTATGTTCCAACTCTTTGTTACCCACTCCTCCAGGCTAAAATATCAGGTTAGATTTGTAGAAACAAGAAGAGCTGAGACCTGGCTACTTGTTCAGATCTTAAACCAGAGATGTTTCAGCCAGAATGGTGATTTGTGAATATCCGAAGCAGCTTCCAAGATTCTAAAACCAGTAAGTACCCCTGTAACAGCTCCATGAACTTTGAGCAATGAGACTGCATCAATGAAAGCGATGTCTAACATCCGTCCGAAAGAAACATCACCTATTTCAACTCCTAAATTCTAGAATGCTTATTTTAAAAGTCAATTTTGTTTGTTACAGCTGTGTTTATCAAGGACTACGAAAAGTATTAATTCAAACAACAGTTAAAATTCAGCAACTATGTAATCAAAGTTAGTTTTGCTGGGGCGACTGCAGCCAGCATTTCTTAGATCACTATATCACACATATTGATAAGACAACAGTCAGCAATACACTGTTGCTACAAGCAACCAAACTAATAGTTTTCTAAGTATTTAAATTTATTTCATAATAATTTCAAATGAGTCAGTTCTCTAGGCGAGCAGAATGTTAGCAAACTCAATCTATCAATCAGAATGGAAATTAGTACCTACCTGAAACCCTATTAAGTGTCACCCAGAAATGCTCATCAGGACTATAGGTATCTTTTGACCATTGTAGTAGATCAATGGCCCTTTGGTCACGTAGAACAAAGTCGACAAAGTCTCTGGTAAGCGCCACATAGGCAGTGCCAAAGTAGATGGTCAGCTGATGTGGAGGTGAAGTTTTCAAAATATTAGTATTTTTCACAAAAAAGCCACCTTTATCTGTATGCTCTTGGTGGACATATTTAGTTCGCTTAATTGCATGGTCAGGAGGCAGCACCCCTGGGGTGATATTTTTCCCTTTAAATCCTTTCAGATGCTGAACTATCTCCCGGTTGGTTTTCAGGGGGAAGTCTTGTCCACAGGTGTTGATGACGTACTTCCAGGGAACCTCAGAGGCGACAAGGTCTTTCAGACAGTTCAGGTCAGCCTGGAGTCTGGAAATGCCTGCATAAACCACAGACTCTGTCTTTGAAGCAATGAAAGCATTTTGGAAGCAACTCAGTAACTGCCTCACAGATTCCTTATACTCAGCTGGGGCTTTCTCATCCACGTGAACACAGTAGACATTTTGGGGCATATAGATAGCCCTAAAGAGCCTTTCAAAGGTGTCAAAGTCCTTATGGATGACCATGACATAGGCCAAAGGGAATGCAGCCTCTTCTTCCGACAGGGGACTTGTGATGTAGTGATTCTGGGTCAGGTAATCCTTGCAAGGGACACTTCGCAAAGGTGATGGTAATATATTTTCCCACAAAAAGACTGGCATTTTCTCTAAGGCGTGATTACAGGCAGTTTTCCTAAAATACCTTTCACTGGAACTGTTCAGCTTCTCATAACTTTTTGGCGGGCTCAATTGGCTACTGTAAAATCTCACAAAAATGACCACGCTGAGCAGAGTGAAAGCAAAAAAGCAGTACCTCCAAAAGTTCATTATTTTCACTTCCCTGGGGAAACAATCTCTTCTTTTCAGGGAATGAGAAATGATCGGTGTGAGAGGTTGAATTTGCTTCTCTTGCCAGTCTTGAATTTCGACAGCTTCTCCGGAGGGCTGCTTGCTTTCCTGAATCCTTTAATCCTCCTGTATCCTCTGCTTCGGTGTCTCGTCCATCCTTTTTGGATGTGCCTGGAGATGCGGTGCGTCCCTCTCTCACTTTGGTCTGCAGTTCCCCAGGGTTGAATCCCTGCTGTTTGCAAAGGCTCAGCTAAGCCCAGCCCAGTCCAGCCTCTAGGAAGCCTCCTCATTTACATATGAAATGCAAATTACGTTCTGGAATGCAATGATGGGTCCTTTTCACTGGAGCCGAGTTTCTCTTGCTTCACCCTCACCGCCTTTCCCTTCCATCAATCTATTCTGATCTGATCTCCCTTCTCACGCTTTCTCCAAGCCTTCTAGAATCAGAGGCTCTGTTTTTTCTGGCTAGCCCCACAACCTGCTGGCAGTCCTTAGGAGCCACAGCATTTAAGGATATCGGCTCCTCTGGTTTCTTTCTCTTCCTGTTCTCTGCCACCTCTTTTCATTTTAGTGTTATCTGTACCTCTGGGCACATACAGACACAGATAATGAAAAATGAATGTGTGCCAGGCATGGTGGCACGCACGTGTAGTCTCAGCTACTCAGGAGGTTGAGGCGGGAGGATTGCTTGAGCCAAGGAGATCAAGGCTGCAGTGAGCTATGATGGCAGCACTGCACTCCAGCCTGGGCGACAGTGAGACCCTGTCTCTTCAAACACTTACTTTAAAAAATACATTTGTAACATGACTAAGTAGAAGATTATCAGTGGCAGAAAAATATAACAAGGTAGATTAATTTAGATTCTAATGATGTGTCAGAATATAGCGCGCACACACACACACACACACACACACACACACACACACACACACACACTGACTATGGGAAGAGGGAACAAAGAATTACACCCTTGGGGGCACAGGCAGGACACAAGGGTGGAAGGAACCTAGGACTGACATTTTACATGAAAGAGTCAGTGTTGATATCATATGATGAAGTAAATGTGGGGAAAAGAAAGAGAGATCAGATTGTTACTGTGTCTATGTAGAAAACAGAAGACATAAGAAACTCCATTTTGTTCTGCTTTGAGATGCTGTTAATCTGTAACTTTTGTCCCAACCTTGTGCTCACAAAAACATGTGCTGTATTGAATCAAGGTTTAATGGATCTAGGGCTGTGCAGGATGTGCCTTGGTAAAAATGTGTTTGCAGGCAGTATGCTTTGTAAAAGTCATCGCCATTCTCCATTCTCTATTAACTAGAGACACAATGCACTGCGGAAGGCCGCAGGAACCCCTGCCCAAGAAAGCCTGGGTATTGTCCAGGTTTCCCCCCACTGAGACAACCTGAGATACGGCCTCGTGGGAAGGGAAAGACCTTACAGCCCCCCAGCCCGACATCCGTAAAGGGTCTGTGCTGAGGAGGATTAGTGAAAGAAGAAGGCCTCAATGCGGTTGAGATAAGAGGAAGGCGTCTGTCTCCCGCACGTCCCTGGGAATGGAATGACAAATGTAAAACCAACCATACATTCTACTCTAAGAGAAAATCGCCTTATGGATACAGGTGAGACATCATGGCAGCAATACTACTCTTTACTGCACTGAGATGTTTATGTAAAGTTAAATATAAATCTAGCCTACGTGTACATTTAGGCCCAGCACTTTTCCTTAAACTTATTTATGACACAGATTCCTTTACTCACATGTTTTTCTGCTGACCCTCTCCCCACCTTCACCCTATAGCCCCACCACATTCCCCTCGCCAAGATAGGAAAAATAGTGATCAATAAATACTGAGAGAACTCAGAGACTCAGAGTAAGTGAGCACCGGTGTTGGTCCTCACTTACTAAGCGCCGGTCCCCCAGGGCCCACTTTTCTTCCTCTGTACTTTGTCTCTGTGTCTTATTTCTTTTCTCAGTCTCTCATCTCCACCTTGCAAGAAATACCCACAGGAGTGGAGAGGCAGGCTCCCTTCATCAAACACACCTAAGTTTGCATGCCAGAGAGAAATGTGATAGTGTTCCCAGAGAGCAAAAGTTGGGTCCCATTTCACAAAGAGAGCTTCAGATAACTTGAGCTGTTGACACAGTATTATCTACAATATGTGGAGTGACTACCTACTGGCTCTCTTTAAAAGCCTGACAACCTCAGATTTGAGGTCATTTCAAAGAACTTAAAGGATTCTCATTCTCCTTCCCACCCAACCCCCTCTCCAACTTCCTTTTCTGAAGAAAGAACAAAACCACCAGGGCTGCTGCAGAATTCCTGGAAGTATCAGCCAGTGTAATTCAGGGGAACCAGGAAAAGCACAGGTCTGGTCGCATTACAGAGGGTTCTCAGAGTTCACCTGCTTGCAGTGCTGCAAGCGATCTCGCAGCCAATGTGAAGTGCACTGGGGATTGATGCGGACGGTAAGGACACTTCCAAGGGAGAAATTAACTGGTCAACTAAAGGATCAACTGTGGCAGCCACACGAGGCATGTTAAGAGTGGGCCCTGCTCCCATCTCACTCCTGTAGTCACCTAGCAATCGTACCTGCCGGGGCTTGTGCCAGTTGGAACAGCTGCTCCTGTTAGGAAAACATTTGATTCACAATGCAGCCATTTCCCTGCCCCCTCTCTGCTCCACTCCACCCCTTAACTTCCTACAGTGAACTGTAGGAATGAATGGCAACAGTGCCGTGGATGCGATGGATATTGATTTGGATATTAATTTGGTGAGCTGCTAGAGAGTTGGCGGGGATCTTTGAGATCACCCATCACAACCCCGTTATTTTTACAGATGAGCACATTGAGGCCTTTAAAAATATTCTCCCCAATGTCATTCAGCTGGATAGAAACCAGAGCCTTAATTCCACAGCTCCCTGGTCCAGGTGCTGAAGCCAGTCTGTTTGGCTAAATCCCAGCTGCTCACAGTGCCTGGGTAAAGTTACTTAACCTCTTTACACAACCAGGTCCTCCCACTGTGAAAAGATAAAGAACAGTGGCTCTTATTTCAAATGGTTGTCAAGACTAAATGAGATACCTCTTGTTGAGGGTTTGGCAAGAATCCGGGCACCTGGTAGATGTTCCATAAGCATTAGCTATGATTGTTGTTGTTGTTGTTTCTCTTTTGGAAAATATCCAACACTTCTGACCCTCATAATGAACTGATATTTTGATTTCTGTTCTTAGTAATGGAAAAAAAAAGCATTTACCTTAAGGTTTTCAAATGCTTTATTCCCGGAGGTTAAATTCCACTCTTTTCTTCCCCATCACTGCCTCCCCTTTAGCCCATGGGAAAAAAAATATATATATTTATATAAATATATAAATATTTTATATATAGTTTATATATATTTAAATATATATGATATATATTATACATGATATATAATATATGATGTATAATATAATATATGATGTATTATATTATATATTATAGTATATATTATAGTATATATTATATTTATTATATATATTATATAATAAATATTAAATTATAGTATATAATAAATATTATACTATTTATTATAGTATATAATAAATATTAAATTATAGTATATATTATATTTAATATTACTATATATTATATAGTATATATTATATTTAATATTACTATATATTAAATATATAGTAATATTATATATATTTATATATTTAATATATAGTATATATTATATATATTTTATATATTTAAATATATATAATTATATATATAATAAATTTTATATATTATATAAAAATATATTTTATATAAAATATTTTATACACATACATATATGAATATATCATATATGCATTTATAAATGTTTTTTATATGTACTTTAAGAGATATATTTTTGTATGCATATTTAAAATATATATTACATGTGTATTTTTAAATATATACATATAATACATATGATATATACATATATACACATAAATATATTTATATATACATATAAGTGTGTGTATATATATATATTACTATTTTATTATGTATATTCACACACACTCTAGAAATGTGACTGTATGAAGGGAACAATCCAATAACCCATTTTGATGCCTTCATGTCTCTTCATTCTTACTAGAACCACACCCTTTTCTGTAAAATTTGTCCTTGGCAGGTCTTGTGGAGAACAGAAGGGGAAAGTTGGAGTGAGAAAAGAGAGGCAAAGGTCTTCTATTGCAGGTTCAGTCGGTTTTTTCCCTTCTCTTTGCCTCAAGCCTTGATCCTACAATAAGGAGCTCTGATAAGTGCCAATGCAAAACAAACTCAAGAAATCTTTCAACATGATGTAGCCAAAGCAGTCTGCAGATGGGAGTGGCAGCATGATTTATAGTTCAAAACAGCAGTATCCAAAAATAAATAAATGAGGCCGGGTGCAGTGGTTCATGCCGGTAATCCCAGCATTTTGGGAGGCCAAGGAGGGCAGATCACCTGAGGTTGGGAGTTCGAGACCAGCCTGACCATCATGGAGAAACCCTGTCTCTACTAAAAATACAAAATTAGCCAGGTGGGGTGGTGCATGCCTGTAATCCCAGCTACGAGGGAGGATGAGGCAGGAGAATCACTTGAACCTAGGAGGCAGAGGTTGCAGTGAGCCCAGATCACGCCATTGCACTCCAGCCTGGGCAACAAGAGCAAAACTCCATCTCAAAAAATAAAAAATAAAAAATAAATAAATACATACATAAAACAAAACCCCAAAACCATGTACATCATTTGTCCTGACTTATTTACAGTGGTTTAGATGAACAGACTGAGACTAGCATGTGATGCCTTCTGAGTGGCTGGCCCTAGCAGTAGGTTTGTTTTGTTTGGTATCTTTGAATATATCAAATGGTATATTGAACAGGCATTTCCTTCCAGTAAATAATTGGGCAGGCAAAGCTATTAACTTCCAACCAGGGCATTATTTCTGCTCTGCCCACTCTAGTTGGCTCAACAGACTGAAAATTGTTAAGTGGTCATTCTGTATCAGTCCCACCTCTCTCTGCCCCAGGATAACTTTTACGGTCACAAACAAGAAGACAGCACAAGGACTATGGCTAACAACACATCATCATCTCAACTCAACATGAAAACCAGGGCTGGGCTGCCTGCGGGGCCCTCTGAGCAGTGCTGGGATTTCTCTTCCCTCACAATGAGTTAGTTCTCATTAATCTTCCACGAGCTCTGCTTCCACTGCAGGTGAGTTTACAAAGGCTGAGGCAGATGCCGGTCAGGGGAGGGGCAGGACTGGAACCCGAGTCGGACCTACTCTCAAATCCTTGCCGTTCTTCATCACCCTCTGCAGAATGAGTGGCTATTGAATCTTTTTTTTTTTTAAGGCAATGCTTTTTGATGAGTCCTCTCATCTCCACCAAGACCACTCCATCTTCATCTGTGTCTAAGGCTTTAGTTGTGCCTGGCTGGCAACCTCAAACTCTTTGGCCACAAGCGAGATGCAGGAATTAAGCAAAAACAGATCTCCAAGCAACCAAAATAATCATCACACATTGTAGGACGGATTCAGGCACTCAAATGCCTACAGGCAGGTAAGGCACAGTGCGGGAAGCTGGTGAAGGGTCAGACGAGCAGGGCCGGTGAGTTCACAGAGGGCAGCAGACATTGAGGAGGATTGGGTGGGGGCTGCTGGGAATGAGAGAGCCTGCATCCCTCCCCACCCCCCTGACCCCTGGCAATTAATGCCACAGGGGATCATGAGCCCAGGGCTGCCAGCTTTTCCAGTGTATTCAGAGAAGTGAGAAACCTGAATTTTATCAGAAAAACTCTCAAACTTACCCCTAAGGATGGCATTTGGCCCTCAGGATGCCAGTTTTGTCTTCTTTGGTTTAAGCATCAAAGCTTACATCCTTTAAATCCCTCTGAGGCTTAGCCTGTTAAATCTTAGTTTAGACACGATCATAAAATGTTCTTATAGCTAAGCAGATGCAAAGTCACAAATTAGAACAGGGAAACAAAACTGGCAGGCTCAGGTCCCCTGCCGACAGCAGTAGGTGAAGTAAGTTCAACTACAAACGCAGAGCTGTGTGAGATCATTTGGTGTAAGGATACCGGCATTTATACAGCTCCATGCCCATTTTATTACTTGTTTTTTTTTTTTTTTTTTTTTTGTTTGTTTTTTGAGATGGAGTCTCGCTCTGTGGCCCAGGCTGGAGCGCAGTGGCACGATCTCAGCTCACTGCAACCTCCGCCTTCCGGGTTCAAGCCATTCTCTTGCCTCAACCTCCCGAGTAGCTGGGATTACAGGTGCCAGCCACCACAGCCAGCTGATTTTTGTATTTTTAGTAGAGACGGGATTTCACTCTGTAGGCCAGGCTGGTCTCAAGCTCCTGACCTCAAGTGATCCACCCGCCTCAGCCTCACAAAGTGCTGGGATTATAGGCATGAGCTACCATGCCTGGCCCCATTTTATTACTTTACTAGATCAATATCTCTAGTACTTATAGAGATCAAACAAGTTAATGTCTATGAAAGGACTTGAAAGCTGTGAAGAAAACAGGCCAACCTAGCTTTCTTTGAATATAAGCAGAATACAAACATTTAGTGAAACAAATAGAAATGGATTAATAGACATGTTATACATATATTCTGCACATTCTATTTAAAAATGCATTTCTGAAATATATTTATTTAATATAGTGGGTTTTTTCATTGAGTCATTGTTTTTAATAGCACAGAATACAGAAATAATAGATTGGGACAACAGTTTTGTAAGACTAGAGGTTAATATTCCTCTTGTGAAGAGGTAGCCTATAAATTAATAAGAAAAGGTAAATAACCAAAGAGAAAAGCAGGCAGAGTACATGACAATCACAAAGCAGAAAAAACTAATGGCCAATGAACATATAGAAACACACTCTTCTCACACTAGAGATCAGAGAAATTCATATTAAAACAAAATTATGCAGTGTGGTGAATTCCTATAGTTTGATGTTGCCTCAGCATCCATTCTGAAGATAAGCTTAACTTTCTCATACCAGAAGCAGGGTTTAGTCAACCCCTACTTAACACAGTTTCCAGTTCTCCGCCTCCTCCCAGTTCCTCAATGTGGTTAATCCAGATATCTGCCTTAAACAAGTGCTCAAAAGTGATGATCTTAACAACAACAACAACAAAATGGATCTAAGTTAACTTCATTTTTGTATGCTTATCCTTTTCCATGTTCTCTCCTCCACAAGAATATAAGCTCCGGGCCGGGCGCAGTGGCTCACGCCTGTAATCCCAGTACTTTGGGAGGCCAAGGCAGGCGGATCACGAGGTCAGGAGATTGAGACCATCCTGGCTAACACGATGAAACCCCGTCTCTACTAAAAATACAAAAAATTGGCCAGGCGAGGTGGCGCGTGCCTCTAGTCCCACCTACGCGGGAGGCTGAGGCAGGAGAATGGCATGAACCCAGGAGGCAGAGCTTGCAGTGAGCCGAGATCATGCCACTACACTCCAGCCTGGGCGACAGCGAGACTCCGTCTCAAAAAAAAAAAAAAAAAAAAAGAATGTAAGCTCCATGAAGACAGGGACTTCATCAACTCTTTTTTTTTTTTTTTTACTTTTAGACAGAGTCTCACTCACTCTGTTGCCCAGGGGCTGGAGTGCAGTGGCTCAATCTCGGCTCACTGCAACCTTCGCCTCCTGGATTCAAGCGATTCTCCTGCCTCAGACTCCAGAGTAGCTGGGATTATAGATGTGTCCAGCTAATTTTTGTGTTTTTATTAGACACGGGGTTTCACTACGTTGGCTAGGCTGGTCTCGAACTCCTGACCTCAAGTGATCCACCTACCTTGGCCTCCCAAAGTGCTGGGATTACAGGCGTGAGCCAATGCGCCTGGCCAGTTTCATCTACTCTTTACCACTGAAAATAGCAGTGCAGAGCAGAGGTACCCAACAGATATTTCTTGAATGAGGTCAATCAACTACAGAAGTTAGAGAAAAGACAACAAATAAACCCACTTTTGGGTGAATCAGTGAGGGGTGGTCATGGTGGTGGTGGGTTAAATCAAGGAATAAGTGTTATGCAAAGCGCTGATTTTAAGGTGCACCTCCTACCACCACGAAGTTCAAAAACAATGACCTGGCGTTTGCTTTAAATGGATTCAATAGGCCGGGTGCAGCAGCTCACGCCTGTAATTCCAGCACTTTGGGAGGCTGAGGCAGGTGGATCACCAGAGGACAGGAGTTCAAGACCAGCCTGGCCAACATGGTGAAACTCCGTCTCTACTAAAAATGCAAAAATTAACTGGGCATGGTGGCAGACGCCTGTAATCCCAGCTACTCGGGAGGCTGTGGTAGGAGAATCACTTGAACCCAGGAGGCGAAGGTTTCAGGGAGCCGAGATCATGCCATTGCACTCCAGCCTGGGCAAAAAGAGTGAAATTCTATCTCAAAAAAATAAAATAAAATAAAAAATAAACGCATTCAACAAACCATGGAACCATGGAATTCGAGCCCCTTAACTTGGCCCATGAGCACTTCTGCTCCTGGGGCTCTGGGCAGACTGCTCGGTGACCTATCAGGAAGGAGGTAGCATCTTGCCAATTTCCCAGGGTGACAGATCCCACTCTGCTCACTTTGTGGCTGAGCTCCCGAAGGTAGGGAATGTAGTCACTTGCCTGGGATGAGAGGAGGCAACTCCAGGAGCCGCGGGAGGCGTCTGAGTGCAGAGCCCACCCCCTGCCCTACATGGCTGTCACCTCCCCCCTCACACTGCACAGCAGCCCCCTTGGGCGAGGTGTGATTTCTCTCCATTTGATGTGCAAGAAAGCCTCAGGGAGGTAAAGTTGCTAGGCCAAAGTCACACACGCCCAATTCTCACCAGCCTCCTGAGTGCTTCTTTTCTATTTTTCATTTTCATTTAATTTTTTAAAGATGAGATCTCGCTCTATCACCCAGGCTGGAGTGCAACGGTGAGAGCATAGCTCACTGCAGCCTTGAACTCCTGAGCTCAAGAGATTCTTCCACTTCAGCCTCCTGTAGCTGAGACTACAGGCACTTGGCTAATTTTATTATTATTATTATTATTGTTATTATTTTTAGACATGGAGTCTAGCTATTTTGCCCAGGCTGGTCTTGAACTCTTGGCCTCAAGTGATCCTCCAGCCTCGGCCTCCTAAAGTGATGGGATTACAGGCTTGAGCCACTGTATCCGGCTTCTTGAGTGCTTCTGAGCTCCTGCTTACAACACTTTTTCCTCTTTTCTGATTGCAATGATCTCTGAATCCTGGTTCTTCTTTCTATGTGTGTGTCTCTCTCTCTCCCCAAATCTCTTTCTGTCTCTGTCCTATTGAAAAGCCCTCTTTCATCCTGGAACTCCCCAACCCATTCCTCCTACCTCCCCCTAAGTCTTTCCATTCCACTCTCAAATGCTTCTTCCTCTGGATCCTGAATTCCAGCCTCCTTGAATAGATTTTTGTTTTTTTAATTAACTATTCTGTGCACAAAAGGGAAGGCTTCAATTATCTAGGAAACTCACGATTACGACCAAACTGTTTCCTCAGATAACGTGAGGCAAATATGTTTGCCATGTGATTCTACTTCAGGCATCAGTGTTTCTTCTGCACAGGGCTGTGTAGTAGGTATTTAAAGCTGTGGGCCATTCACTAGGTCTCTGTTGCAACAACTCAACCCTGCTGTTGAGGTGCGAAAATAGCCATAACAATGCATGGCTGTGTCCTAATAAAACCTTCTTTATGGATCCTGAAATCTGAATTTCCTACAACTCTTCATGTCACGAAGTTGTTTCTTTTGATATTTTTTCAATCATTTGAAAATGTGGCAGGGCGTGGTGGCTCACGCCTGTAATTCCAGCACTTTGGGAGGCCAAGGCAGGCAGATCACCTGAGGTCAGGAGTTCGAGACCAGCCTGGACAACATGGTGAAACCCCGTTTTCATGCACGTCCGTGTGAAGAGACCACCAAACAGGCTTTGTGTGAGCAACATGGCTGTTTATTTCACCTGGGTGCAGGCGGGCTGAGTCTGAAAAGAGAGTCAGCAAAGGGAGATGGGGTGGGGCCGTTTTATAAGATTTGGGTAGGTAAAGGAAAATTACAGTCAAAGGGGGTTTGTTCTCTGGCGGGCAGGAGTGGGGGTCGCAAGGTGCTCAGTGGGGGAGCTTTTTGAGCCAGGACGAGCCAGGAAAAGGACTTTCACAAGGTAATGTCATCACTCAAGGCAAGGACCGGCCATTTACACTTTTGTGGTGGAATGTCATCAGTTAAGGCAAGGACTGGCCATTTACACTTCTTTTGTGGTGGAATGTCATCAGTTAAAGGTGGGGCAAGGCATATTCACTTCTTTTGTGATTCTTCAGTTACTTCAGGCCATCTGGGCATATACGTGCAAGTCACAGGGGATGTGATGGCTTGGCTTGGGCTCAGAGGCCTGACACCCATCTCCACTAAAAATACAAAAAAATTAGCTGGGCGTGGTGGCAGGCACCTGTAATCCTAGCTACTTGGGAGGCTGAGGCAGGAGAATCTCTTGAACCCAAGAGTCGGAGGATGCAGTGAGCTGAGAACGCGCCATTGCACTCCAGCCTGGAGGACAAGAGTGAAACTCCATCTCCAAAAAAAAAAAAAAAAAAATGTCAACCCAGCCTTTTGGCCAGAACTACCATCTTCCAGTTAAACAGACACTGTATGAGATACACTATCACGGAAAATTTGGTTGACAAGAAAGAGGATTTAATTCATCACATAAAAATTAATTTGCCAAGATGACGAACACAAAGGAAAAGAGGAGAGGCACCCAATGTATGTTCTCTAAGCCTTTTAGAAAACATGGAGTTGTTCCTTTGGCCACGTATATGTGAATCTATAAGAAAGGTGACATTGCAGGCATCAAGGGAATGGGTACTGTTCAAAAAGGAACACCCCCAAGTGTTACCATGGCTAAATGGGAAGAGTCTGCAGTGTTCCCCAGCATGCCGTTGGCATTGTTGTAAACAAACAAGTTAAGGGCAAGATTCTTGCCAAGAGAATTAATGTGTGTATTGAGCACATTAAGCACTCTAAGAGCCGAGCTAGCTTCCTGAAACGCTTGAAGAAAAACGATCAGAAAAAGAAAGAAGACAAAGAGAAAGGTGCCTGGGTTCAACTGAAGCGCCAGCCTGCTCCACCCAGAGTAGCACACTTTATGAGAGCCAGTGGGAAGGAGGCTGAGCTGCTGGAACCTCTTCCCTACGAATTCATGGCATCATAGGTGTTAAAAAAAAATAAAAGACCTCTAGACTGTAAAACAAACAAACAAACAAAAAACATTCTTGGCTCAAGGGCAGTACCAAAATAGGCAGATTTAGCCCATGGTCTATAGTTCACTGATCTCTGCTCTAGATTATAATCATGCTCCCCCCATCCTAAATTTTGCAATTTTGGGATCTTTACAATCACCTATAATTTCTGTGTTTTTCCAGATGAGGAAGTGTGAAATGAGGGAAAATAATAATGTTGAGCATCCTTCTACCCACACCCCCTTTATATGTGCCATCTGGGTTGCAGTGCAAAGGGGTGGATTTGTAGAGAATGTAGGCAAGTAATTTACACTCATAGCCTCAGTTTTCTTTTCTGTAAAATGAAGGTAATAGAAACTACCTCACAAGGCGGTGAGAGTTAAAGAGGTTGGTAGGTATATAAGCACATGCATATATGTTGTCCTGATGCCCACCGAAACTGGTTTCTGGTGGAGGTAACAAGGAACCCATGAGTGGACAAGCTTCTCTTGGCCAGTCCGAGATATGCCAGGGCAGTCAGATGCCACCATTTATGGCAGGCTGCAGAGCCCCTCTGCGTGCCCCCGTTTCCTTTCTTCTTCTACAGAATGGAGACATTAAGAACGCTGACCCCATAGGGTTCTTAAGAGATTGAAATAGGCTAGTATATAAAAAGAGTTTAGAACAATGCCTTGCATGTAATTAGTACGTGACAAATCTCAAGACATTTCTCTCTGTTGCCAAACCTGGCTCATCTGGGCCCCTGAGCACCCTGACCACCTTACAGGGTAGGTTTAGTGAAGCAGCATGGCTGTGTGTGCAGGGGTGCTTCTGCCACCTGAAATATCCCGAAGCATAGGCAGAAGCCCTCAAGGCCACCATTGTCACGGGCAGTCTCAGCCCAGTGTGGGGGAACTGCCTTTCATTCCCAATTGCAGCCTGGGCTTTGACACTGCATCTGACTTGGTTACTCCAGTGAGCTGGCCTGCTGGTGCACCTGCAAAAAGCTAACGATGGGGTCAATATGCGGCATGGTGGTGAAGACCACTGCTTTTCAGTTGAAGACCACATTTAAACCTGGCCCTGCTGTTTGCTAAGGGTCCCTGAGAAAGCTTCTAAAAATTACTGTGCCTTAGCTTTCCAATTTTTAAAAGGCAGTAGTAGAAAGCCTATCCAAGTGGTGGAAAGTAAATCGAAGAAGCTTGCTATGGCTTCTCTGTCTGTGACACTACCTGCCCCCACCCCAACTTACCTTGCTCTTCCAGGGACACACTGCTTTTCTCTACTTCCCTAGCAACCCCACTGGGAGACAAAATTTCTTTCCCTTCTGGTGTTAACTGCCCAGCTGTTAACACTAAATGCCCAAGCAAAGATAACAACAACAATAAAACCCACAAATGAAAACTTTATCTTTGACTATATTCTGTTAAGTTTCAAGGAACAGCGTAGGTAACTATTTGTCTTTCTGCACAACAACTTTTCTCTGATTCCGAATGTCGCATCCGAGGAAAAAGAAGTTGAGAAGTTCCAAGAGACACTATTTGACAATCCAGCTGCTGCCAGAGATCCATATCTAGAACATCCCATCCTTTATATCTTCCGAACACTTTCAAATAAATGGAAACAAAAGTCTTAAAATAGAGATAGGCAGTGATTTCTTGCAACTTCTAATTTTAATAGCCTTATTAAATTCTGGACTCATTTTCAGTTTATTCAATCCACTCTTATACTAGCTCCTTTCCCACAGAGCCGGCCATTTGCCTGAGTTTAGACCGTTTGTTAGGGCAGAGGGCTTGGATAGATCCCAAAAAGCAGACGTTTCTTCTGCTTTCCTAGAAATTAAATCAGGAATAAATTTGCCTCCAAGATACATCCTGTGTTTGTACCTAACTGGAGACAATTTTTGCATTTGATGCTCTCACTGGGTAACGTAGTTTTAAGTTCACATTTTATATTTAGCCATCTATCCTTTTATTTTTTATTTTTATTTTTATTTTTTTTTGAGACGGAGTCTCGCTCTGTCATCCAGGCTGGAGTGCAGTGGCACAATCTCAGCTCACTGCAAGCTCCGCCTCCTGGGTTCACGCCATTCTCCTGACTCAGCCTCCTGAGTAGCTGGGACTACAGGCGCCCGCCACTAGGTCCGGCTAATTTTTTTTGTATTTTTAGTAGAGATGGGATTTCACCATGTTGGCCAGGATGGTCTCGATCTCCTGACTTCATGATCCGCCTGCCTTGGCCTCCTTGACCTCCCAAAGTGCTGGGATTACAGGCGTGAGCCACAGCGCCCGGCCTGCCATCTATCCTTTTAGATGACATCCTTAAACTCTATACTCTCTCCTCAAAAACAATGGGAAAAGCGTTATAAATGGAATAGGTCCAGTCCAGGTTCACTTTGGTTGGGGTCTTCAGGGCTAATATTGTAGCTTTGATTTTTACCCTTCAATATGTTGTAACCTACATAAATGAGTGGTTTCAAGGATCATTTTTTTTCCAGGTTATTGATCAGTGCAGTTCTGCGGAACATAAATATTTTGGGCACTGAATTCTTCATCCTGACATGGAAAGGTGAGCAGGAATGGGGTGGGAGGTGCTCAGGGTGACCAACTGTCCCGGCTTGCCCAGAGCTGAGGGGTTTCCCAGAACACGGGATTTCAGTACTAGAGCTAGAGAAGCTTTGGCAGACCAGGGAGAATTGTTCACTCTAGATAGCATCAGTCCTAACCACTCCCAGATAGACAATTACTACTGAAGGTATTACTGATTAGGGACATACAATAACTATCAGTGTGAAAGGAAAAGAAACATTCAAATCATTATCTCAGGGGGTGTGGAGGGGGCAGGCGTGCAAATCATCACTAAGTCTATAGTGCAGAAAATCTCTGCGTGATCCTTCTTCACATTTCCGTGAACCACTGAGGCATGGGGACAAGTGATTAATATTCATGGGATGGCTTTACAGTGAACCCAAAAGAACGCATTTAAATTATACCAACTACACAGATGTTTTCCAGTGGATATAGGAAGGTTTTAGTAACAAACAATAATGGGAGAACATGAAGAGATAATAATTTCTACTATAGGGCTTGGTGCGGTGGCACACACCTGTAATCCCAGCACTTTGGGAGGCTGAGGTGGGTGGGTCACCTGAGGTCAGGAGTTCAAGACCAGTCCGGCCAACATGGTGAAACCCCATCTCTACTAAAAATACAAAAATTTGCCGGGCATATTGGTAGGCGCCTGTAATCCTAGTTACTCGGGAGGCTGAGGCAGGGAGAATTGCTTGAACCTGGGAGGCGGAGGTTGCAGTGAGCTGAGATTGCACCATTGCACTCCATCCAGCCTGGGTAACAAGAGCGGGACTCTGTCTCAAAAAATAATAATAATAATAATTATCATGATCATCATCATAATTTCTACTATAGCATTACAGTTTCTAAACTCCCTTCCCTCTATACCACGTGTAACTTGAGAGATCTTCTTTCCGTATGGGGTGGGATTAATAGAAACATATGGGATTGTAGGGATGGAATGCTCATTCTAAGCTTTATAAGAAATAGGCAGTGAGGCTAAAAAATGTAAACTCATTTTAAGGAGCAGGACAATCAGCCAGCCACTTGATCTCTCTGGCTCACAATCTCCAAATTTGTATAACTAGGATTAGAGGATGTTCTCTAAGGCCGCTTGTGGTTCTAAACGCTGTCATTATTTTAGATTCAGCATAGAATAAAGAGGAGGCTGTTTTTATGGGAAAACTGTACCTGAGAGGCTTGGTTTAGACTGAGTACCTGACAAAGAAAGTCCATAAAGTGGTAGGATAATGGACCAGAGATAAATCTACAAGGCTTAGAAGTGGGGAGGAAGCCGGTTAACTCCAACAGACCAAAATCCTGGGAGAGAAGAAACCAGACAGAGACAAGTTCAGCCTCTCTAGGACATGGCCCAAAACATAGCAAGGACTTCAGGGTCTTGGGGACAGTAGTTTTCACATAGGACACAAGAGGGGATTTGGACTCTAAGGCAGGAGGGCCTTTTTCAGTAGGCCCCCCAAAGAGCTTGAAGGAGGAGCTCAGACTTGGACCAAGTGCAGAATTAGATTTTCAGTGAAGGAAGAGTTATGTGAAGATTGGGTCTAAGGAAGGAGATGGCTAGAAAGAAAATGAACCAGGAAATGTCCAGAAGAGAGGGCTGATGGTAGCACGAAGCTAAATTTATCAGTATGACATGAGTATCTCCAGCTTACTCGGGAAAGACTGAAGTTGTATCCTCCAATATTTTCACAGTTAAGTTCTGATCTTTTAAACCTGGCTGAGGAGGAAGATTATGGGAGAATACATTTCACAAAAGTACAGAGCTGAAGGGCAAAGTTTCGAAAGCCCAACTCCCATCCATCCATTCTCCAGAAATGTGGTGTCAAAAGGAGACACAAGGTAAATGGATTTGGGGAAAGCCTTCTGCCACTTATTGCTTTGTCTAGAAGCACTTAAGAAAGAATGCCACATGCTGGGTGCCGTGGCTAATGCCTGTAATCCCGACACTTTGGGAGGCTGAGACAGGTGAATCACTTGAGTCCAGGAGTTCAAGACCAGCCTGAGTAACATGGCAAAACCCCATATCTACAAAAATTACAAAATTAGCTGGGCATGGTGGTGCATGGGAGGAACGCATGAGCCTGGTAGGTTGAGGCTGCTGTGAGCCGTGATCACGCCATGCACTCCAGCCTGGGTGACAGAGTGCAACTCTGTCAGGAAGAAAGAAAGAGAGAAAGAAAGGAAGGAAGGAAGGAAGAAGGAAGGAAGGAAGAGAGAGAGAAAGGAAGGAAGGAAAAAGGAAGGAAGGAAAGAAAGAAAAAGAAAGAGAAAGAAAGAAAGAAAGAGAAAGAAAGAGAAAGGAAGGAAGGAAGGAAGGAAGAAATCCATATGAGCTCAGAGGGTAAGAGAAAGACAGGTTTATGAGTAGTCCTAGCATGGAAAAACTACACTGAGAAATGGTTAGTTAGAAGAGCAGTTAACATATTTTTGCTTAGGGCATAGCTGAGACTGCAAATGGTCCACTATGATGGTGGTTGGACCTTGGGTTGAAGAACAGCCTGTCTGGAGCAGATGCTGCCCCCAGGCTGGGCTCAGCATGAGAAGCATTCCCAAAATAAGCAGGATGCTTTGGAAAAACTGAGTGGAAGAGAACTGTCTCATTGCTGTTGCCCAAGAACAGAGGAGCATTTAGGAAACGTCAAAGAAAAATTGAACATGGGCCAGGTGCAGTGGCTCATGCTTATAATCCCAGCTACTTGGGAGGCTGAGGTGGGAGAACAGCTTGAGCCCAGGAGTTTGAGGCTGCGGTGAGCCAAGATCACACACTGCAATCCAGCCTGGTAGATGGAGTGAGACCCTGTCTCAGAAAACATGGCTGAAAGATACTGTTTGAAGTTGACCCTTCAGGATTTGGCAAAATTACCTAGGGGGTGTGTGTGTGTGTGTGTGTGTGTGTGTGTGTGTGTGTGGCGGGGGGAGTGGGTGGCAGGGGGTGATGCAAGTGGTAATGATTTGAAGTTGACTAGGCAGCAGTGCTGAGGGGCACCAACATCCTAAAATTATTTCCATTTGACTCAATTCAATAAATATTTCCTGTCAGCCCACTGAATGCTCACTATGCTGGACTGCCAAAAATACAAAAGACCTCAAAGACATTATAGTCTAGTCGCGGTAATACGATATTCACATTAATAATGATAATGCAGAGATTCTAGAATGACATAAAAGCATTACAACAGAGGTTTATAAAGGTATAAAATTGGGAAAAAATAAGACCAGAAAAAGCTTCCTAAATGACACACCAATGACATGATGTGTTACCATTGAATGACATACCATTAAACAAGGCCATTATTTAAATGGAGAGATGGAAGGCAATGGCACAAACAGAGAGGGTGACATGAAGAAAAGGACCTATGGCAGGATTACAGGCATGGTAATTTTTCTGAAGGGTTCCTTTCAGGGAAGGCAGCAATGGGAGTTGACGGTGGGGTAACACAGGTAATACTGAGGGGATCTCCAACAGGGAGATTTTGACATCCAACCTGCCATGTTGAGATGTCTATACTGAATAATTCAATAAGTTGTTGACACTCACTGAAGCTTTTGGAATTGAGAAAACGTTTTTCTTAGAGCTATGTCTTAAGAAGCAAAATATGTTAAGAGTGTTAGAATGGTTTGAAGAGGGAGACTCGGGCCAGAGAGACCACTTGGAGTGGGTCCGACAATAGTCTGCTTGACAGGTGTGATGGGCCAGAGTTAAGAACAGTAATGATGAAAACAGGAAGGGTAGAACTTGCTAGAAAACTCTCACAGACAAAACGTATGGAATGTGCTGGCTGGATCCTGGGGTACCAGAAGTGGGGAAGTTGGCTGACTTGAAGGATGGCCATACCACAGAGACTGTGAGTGGAAAGCTGGGTGTGTGGGGAGTAGGGAGATGTCAGCAGGCACTCGTGGAAGCTTCGAGAAGAGATATCCAAAAAACAAGGAGATGTGGCAGAAGGCCTGGGAGCTCACTACAGGGAAGTGAATGGTCAGTACTGAGGTGGTGGTGAGAAACTGCAGATGTAAATGAGATCACAAAGGGGGAAAGAACTGCAAGAGCCACGAAGTAAACTGAGGCAAGAACTGAGGAGGATGTTTCCTGAAAACATTTCTCGAATTCTGAATTTCACTGAGAATAGTAGCTCCAAAATTCCACCGATAGCTAAGTCTCATTTCAATAGTCAGTAAGCAAGAAGATGAAAAGAACAGAGCTCTTCATTTACATTCAACTTTCTCAGTGAGGGATTATAAAATCCATTTATCATTGGCAAAGTGATCACCTTTTCATTATCTTGAGGTTTCGGCTGAGAGTTCGAGGGCAAAGTCAAAACTCCATGATAAATTTTGCTGGCTTCCGTCTTTGATAATTCTCTTGCTAGCACTTTTAACCCTATCTGCCTTTCTCAGTAACAACTTCCAGAAAAGATCGATTCTATACATTGCATTGTGGACAGGAGACAGAGGACTGGATTAGAAGTAAGAAGAGATCAATTTGTGCCCTGGCTCTGGCAATTATTAGCTGTTCAATACATCCAAGAAATATGTACAGTAGCTATACATCTTACACAGAGGTGAGGTTGCAGAGTCAATGAGTAAAGGGAAAAAGGCCTAAAAGTTAATATTCCTCTAGAGATATCCCTTAGGAATGCACCACATTCCAACATGGTCAGTCTTCCCTTTCATCTTTTTTCTTTTTCTTTGAGATAGCATCTTGCTCTGTTGCCAGGGCTGGAATGCAGTGGCGCCATCCTAGCTCATTGCAGCCTTCATCTCTGGGGCTCAAGTGACCCTCCCACCTCAGCCTCCCAAGTAGCTGGTACCACAGACATGTGCCACCATGCCCAGCTGATTTTTGTATATTTTGTAGAGATGAGTCACTGTGTTGCCCAGGCTGGTCTCCAACTCCTGGGGCCAAGTGATCTTTCCACCTTAGCCTCCTGAGTAGCTGGGAATACAGGTGTGTGTCACCAGACTTGGCCAATTTCATTTTATTATTTTTTTGTTGAGATGTGGTCTCACTATGTTGCCCAGGCTTATCTTGAACTCTTGGGCTCAAGTGATCCTCCTGCCTTGGCCTCCCAAAGTGCTGGGATTATAGGCATAAGTCTAGCCTTCTCTTTAATCTTGGTCCAGATGGTTGTTTCTTCTAATGAGCACTAGATGAAGAAGTTCGTTTGAGCAGACGAGCTATGTTATGAGATAGACATATACAGTCCTTTAACATTAGTGAGCCTTGGGAAGCAAACTCCATCAAGAGAATGAGCAGACTCCTTGGCTTACTCTGGACCCCACTCATTGGGTAAAATGAAGGGCAGAGTAGCATGGCCAACACCATTTAAACCCATATAAAACGTGTGCGTGCACAAGCGTACATGTGTGCATGCATTTAATTAAGTCTGTGTAGGTTAAACAAATATAAGTTGGGACTCCATCATCTTGAGTACTGCTCATGTGCCCGAGGTATGCTAAGTGTAAACAGAAATAGGCCCGTGCAGCTGCTGCCCTTGAAGCCTATTCTAAAAGGTCACTAGGAATATACAACACAGCACTGCAAAACTGATATGGTTGGGCGCAGTGGCTCATGCCTATAATCCCAACGCTTTGGGAGGCCAAGGCAGGAGGATCACTTGAGGCCAGGAGTTCAAGATCAGCTTAGGCAACACAGTGAAATTCTATCTCTATAAAGATTTTAAAAATTAGCTGGGCATGGTGGCACCTAAAGTCCCAACTACTCGGGAGGCAGAGGCAGGAGAACTGCCTGAGCCTAGGAGGTCAAGGCTTCAGTGAGCCATGATGGTATCACTGCACTCCAGCCTGGGTCACAGAGCCAGGCCTTGTCTCCTAAAAATTTTTTTAAAGATTAAAAATAAAAAGACCAATAATAGTACAACGTTGTACGGGAGTCCAGATGAGTGAGAATCAGGAAAAGAATTTTACAGAGTGTGACTCTAAGCTGAATTAAAAAAAAAAAAAAGCACACATCAATCAGATGCAGGATAGGGAGGAAGAGCATCCGGGAGCCTCCCGGGAGAGGGACTGCATGCGTCAGGGCAGGAAGGCTGGGAGTGGCAGAACAGGGATCCGCAAGTTATCTGGGGAAGGGCGCAGCTAGAGAAGTCACTGGAAAGGCCAAGGGGGCCAGATCTCGAGGAGCTCTCTGTGTTTGGTGAAGGTGCTGGGATGCTATCCATACACCGTAGGGGAAGGGAATCCATACACAGCTTCTAAGGAGGAGAGGGATGTGATCGCATGATCATGGGTGCATGTTACAAAGGCCATCCTGTCACTGTGGAGGATGGATTAAAGCACGGAACAGGGAAACTAGTTAGGAAGAAATTATACAACTTTAAGAGAAAGAAGAAGGGTAGACGACGGCGCCAGAAGTGGAACGTGTCACGGGGGAGCGATACTATCTTGGCCGGTGGTGTGGGGGGAAAAGAATTTACCAGGAAGAATTTACCAAGACTGTTGTAGGTAGAGAAAGGTAGATTTCTTCAAGAAAGTAGGAAGATACATTGCGAAAAGGCAACGGGCAGGCCAGCAGAAGCTGACTGCAAAGAAACAAAGCCTTGCTGGAGATTTTATAGGGTAGTGTTCATGCTGAAGAGAGCTTTGTGCAGTACTGACAATGCCAAGGTTGCGGGGAGCTAATCTGCAGGTGTCTGGTGATAGCTGGTCGTGGGAAAATCGTGAATTATTGGCTCAGGAGGTTGTGTCCTGGACCATGAAGAAAGGCGGACTTGCAGCTTATCTGCTTTCCCTCTGCTTTCCCTTGATCCCACCAGCTTGACTCCTTTTCCCTAATTAGGACTCCACAGAAAACAGGCCTGTGGCAAGATCCATTTTGCTGAGTGTTTATTCTGTGCCCAGCACTTGCCCACAAGCAGGGCACTGTCAGATCTGTTTTTCTCTGGCCTCCTGCAAGGGCCTGTGTGGTTCATGCACTGCCTGCCTCATGCTCAGTCCAGCTCTCATCCTCGTTCGCTCGGCTATGGCCACACGGGCTGCTTTTCTGGCTCTGCAGACACCAGGCTCACCCACGACCTTTGCGATCCCTATTCCCTCTGCCTGGGACCTCTTTCACAAGTGCGTGGCTGGCTCACTCTCATTTTGGGAGGCAGTTCATGTGCTACCATTGCCAAGAAGCCTTCCTGTCCCATTTCATCTACAGTAGGTTGCTCCCTGTGTATTTCCCTCATAGCATTTCTCATCAACTCTAATGATCTGGCTTCTCTCTCTCTACTATTTATTGGCTGTCTCTTCCTTCTAAAATGTATCCTCCATGAGGTAGGGGCCTTATGTGTCTCATTCACTACTATTTCTCAGTACCCAGCAAAGTGTCTGGTTGCTCCATAAATATTTATTAAATGAATATCCATCTTATAGATGAAAATACAATAACAATAACTCATTTAGACCTTACATATTTGATATCTATTATTATTGTCCCATTTTACAGATGAAGTCACTGAGACACAAAAGTCAGGTACTTTGTCCGAGGTCACACAACTTCTAAGTGACAGAGCCGGGATTCACATTCAGGCCATCTGGCTGCAGGGTCCAGGCTTCTGCCATCTGTGCCATATTGCAATGCTAAGACCAAGGTTGACAGATGTCGGGGGATACATGGCTGGTGATGGAGGAGCCAGGAGTCCAACCTGGTTCTCTCTGACTCTGGAGCCTGAGCCCTTGACTTCTACACTCCAGGAAGAGCCAGATCAGCAGGGATGAGGGTAGGGAGAGCTAAGGGAGACCAGCCCGCAGGTCTGAGCTAACAGAGAATGGTGTCAAATTCAGAGACTTGCAAAGGGGAGAGTCTGAGTTTAGTTCAGAGCATGTAGAATTTGAGGGGCCCGCCACACACATTCTCTACTCTGCTTCCTGCTTTTGGAACAGGGCACATTACTCAGCCCCTCTGGTCCCGTCTTCATATTTGCAAAATGTGGATTTAAGTACCCACTGGATGGGATTCTTGTGGAGATTCAACTGAGATACTCTAAACCCATAGGCACATGTTCAGTAAACATTAATTGCCTTCATCTTTCCTGCACCTCTGCTCACATGAAAAAGCCAAAATCTCCAGGAAAATGGGCTGAATATCAGGATGAAAGAGAAAGTTTTTGAGTGGGTCTAATTATATAACCATTCCGCAAGCTGAATAAGACTTAGAATTAGCTAAGTTTCATCTTCAGAATATTCGCAGTAATTGCAATCATTCAATGAAGAATTCATTAAACTGGGTTCAATTTAAAATAAGCGGATAACATGTGCTACCTCCTTCCCTTGGATGTTTCTTTTTATTTTGATTTCTTGTTAAGCATATGCAATATTTGTCTTTGGACAAGTCATATATATATATATATATATATATATATATATTTTTTTTTTTTTTTTTTTTTTCTTTTTTCTTTTTTTGAGATGGAGTCTCACTCTGTCACCCAGGCTGGAACATAGTGGTACAATCTCGGCTCACTGCAAGCTCCGCCTCCTGGGTTCAAGCGATTCTCCTGCCTCAGCCTCCCAAGTAGCTGGGATTACAGGGTCCTGCCACCACGCCAGGCTAATTTTTGTATTTTTAGTAGAGAAGGCATTTCACCATGTTGGCCAGGGTGGTCTCGAACTCTTGACCTCAGGTGATCCACAGGCCTCAGCCTCCCAAACTACTGGGATTATAGGCGTGAGCCACCACGCCCAGCTAAGTCACATATTTTCATCTTAAACTTTCTCATCTGTAAAATGGGAACAGTCCCCTTCTTATGGGGTTTTATAAGAATTAAAGGAGATAATGTGTAAGAAATTTCCCTTGCAAATTAAGCATTGTCCAAATATAATAGAGTGACATTATTATTGAACATGTTTTTATGAGAGAAAAGGGTACGGTTAGGTCAGTTAAAATTGTACAAATGGTTAATGTTGTATCCACTCACACACCCATATGTATAAAACTAAATCTTGCCCCTCTAATATCACAGGAGGGATGTGCTTATTTGTTTATTTTCTTGGAGACCGAGTCTCACTCTGTTGCCCAGGCTGGAGTTCAGTGGCATGATCTCAATTCACTGCAACCTCTGCCTCCCGGGTTCAAGTGATTCTCCTGCCTCAGCCTCTGGAGTAGCTGGGATTACAGGCGTGCACCACACCCAACTAATTCTGTATATTTAGTAGAGGTAGGGTTTCACCATGTTAGCCAGGCTGATCTCGAACTCCCGACTTCTGGTGATCCACCCACCTCAGTCTCCCAAAGTGCTGCTTGTTAACAACCCTTAACCCACCCTGCCACCCAGTGTAGGACAAAGGGTGTCCTGCAGTGGGCCTGTGCTTTGCTCTGCCCAGCGTCACCCTGAGCAGCCTCCTCCACCAAAGCCTGTCCCCAGCCCTTGGCTTCAGGGTAGAAAAGGGACCCAAGAAATGTTGGTGAGCATTCTTCACCCCTGTGATTTGTTTATGGATAGGAATTTGTTTTTGTGGGTTTTTTTTTGTTTTTTTTTTTTTTTTTTTTTCAGAGAAGTTCTGACTCTGTCAAGTGATCCTTCTGCCTTGGTCTCCTGAGTGGCTGGAAGTACAGGCGCACACCACCATGCCTGGTGAATAATTTATTTTTTGTAGAGACAGGGTCTTGCTTTGTTGCCCAGGCTGGTCTCAAACTCTTGGGCTCAAGGGATCCTCCCGCCTGGGCCTCAAAAAGTGCTGGGACTACCGGTGTGAGCCACCGTGCCCAACCAGGGATGGGAATTTGGACCAAGCAGGGCCAATCTGAGGTCTCCCTTAAGCTGCCGCTGGAACTCTCAGGAAAAAGTATTTCTTGTCCCCCAGGAGTAACCACTGTGAAAAGCAAGTACACTTGGAGCTACTTCTGGCTTTCTGGGGAGAATTTGCCTGATGGAAGCCAGCACAGAGATGCAGAGAGATAGGGGGACCATCTCGACCTGGTTGTACCCATCAAGGTCCCATGCCCAGGACTGCCCCTCAGACCTGGGCAAACTGGGACAGTTGGTCTCCCCACAGGGAGATGACCTAGCAAGAAAGGGTCCTGAGCACACGGTTTGACTCGCTGATCCAGCTTGATTGGGAGCTCCCTTGGGCATCTCAGATGTGTGACCCGGTAACTTCTGGTGCTTGTTTAAGCTCCTTTGAGTTGAGTTTCTGACACTTGCAACCGAAAGAGTCCTAACACCCTCCCAAAGAATGTGCACATATAAATAAAAGTCACAGTTTAAAAAGCAAAATAAATCAAAGTAGGAAACACGATATTTTTAGAATTAAAAAATGAGGAAATGGGATCATGTGATCCCTTCTGAGGTTGAGAGAATTTGACAAAAGGGCCCTGAAAAAAAAAAAGGAAAACGTATACAAAATGGAAAAAGGAAACGAAATAAATGAAAACATTCTTATGGAAGAAAAATATCATGGCATGAGAAAGGTCAGAGTAATGAATGAGCAAAGACTCCAAAAGCACACTTAGTGCAGCGAGGGAAAAACAGGAGCTGAAGCCAAAGAGTGGGGTAGCTCTGTTCCTTAGAGACGAAACCACCCTGAAGTGTAAGAAGACATTCTAGCCATGGGAATGGACTGGGAAGAAGATCAACCAGCGGCCACTTGGGTAGATGCTGAACAATTTCACAAAGCGTAAAGCAAAAATTAAATGGCTTCAGGTGCTCTGCCTTGGGGAAGATAGGCAGATGAAAATGCTGCAAAAGCCAGGCACAGTGGTTCATACCTGTAATCCCAGCACTCTGGGAGGCCAAGGTGGGCATATCGGCTGAGGTCGGGAGTTCGAGACCAGCCTGACCAACACGGAGAAACCCCGTCTCTACTAAAAATACAAAATTAGCCAGGCATGGTGGCACATGCCTGTAATCCCAGCTACTTGGGAGGCTGAGGCAGGAGAATCGCTTGAACCCAGGAGGCGGAGGTTGCGGTGAGCCAAGATCGTGCCATTGCACTCTAGCCTGGGCAAGAGTGAAACTCTGTCTCAAAAAAAAAGAAAAAGAAAAGAAAATTCTGAAAGAAGAGCCGGGAGAGCTAGAGCACATGGGTTTTTCTTAAAGTGACTTAGAGCAATCATTACAAAGCTCAGAGATGTTAGAAAATATAAGGGTGTACCGGAAGTCAGAAGTTACGGCTGTCACAGCCTGATGCTCTGTAACGTGGGTCAGAGAAATCTGTGGTCCTGGAGAATTTCCTTTGAGAATGTAAGCAGAAGGGAGGGGGCTAGACACCCCATCTGTGCACAAGCCACACAGAAGAGAAGGACAACCACTTTACCTGGTTCCCCTGAAAAGGAGTGAGAGACTGGGGCCCCTAAGGACCTCTTTCTGGCCTGTTGTATCACCATTTCTAACAGTGTAGAGAGAGCCTAGTGGTTGAAAACCAAAAGAGAAGTCACTCTCAGTAGAAAGGCACCAAGAAAAAAAAAAGGCAGTGTGAAGCTCTGTGATTTACTGCTACTTCTATGAATATCCCTTCTATTCAGTCTCGCCAATTCGAACCGATTTTCACTTTGTTTTCTGAAACCATCTAATTCTAAGGTACTAATCATTTTCTCGGTCACATTGCTCTTGGGGGTGTTTTGGGAAACCTGAAATGCCTGCACAGGGTCTTGCTAACACATTTTAATTTAAGGTATTTAGGAGAAAGGGAGGCGGTCGCTTTGAGGGAAGAAATGAACAGCACCACCTGCACTTGCACGTTTGCAAAAAGATGTTTACCCTGTACGGACAGAAGAATTTTTCCTCTTAAAACATGACATTGAAAATAGAAGAGCTCAGCCCGGCGCAGTGGCTCATGCCTGTAATCCCAGCACTTTGGGAGGCCGAGGTGGGCGGATCGCCTGAGCTCAGGAATTCGAGACTACCCCTGGGCAACATGGTGAAACCCCGTCTCTACTAAAATACAAAAAAATTAACCGGGCGTGATGGTGGGGGCCTATAATCCTAGCTACTCAGGAGGCTGAGGCACAAGAATCACTTGAGCCCGGGAGGCAGAGGTTGCAGTAAGCCGAGATCGCACCACTGCACTCCAGCCTGGGCTACAGAGTGAGACTCTGTCTCAAAAAAAATAGAAGAGCTGATATTGATTAACGGCTGTGTGGTTATATAAGAACCAGATTCACATGCCAAATCTTAAATCACAAAGAATGCTCAAGTGTAAAACCATGGGAGTTACTCGAGCGTGGGATTAGATTTTCCACTGCCTTTGAAGGTAGAGAGAGGCACTACTAGGGCTAGAGCATTTGAAGATTTGTTTGCTGTAATTCACTTGTAATTTGTGAAGGCCTACCTAGAAGCAGGATATCCTTTCTCCCTGAACCAGGATGTTGCCCAGAGTCTAAGAAAGGAAAGAAACAAAGCCCCAGGACATGGCACGTTATCCTGAAAGGCATCCCTTGCAGAATCAGACAGGACAGACCACTGACATGGACCGCAATGGCCTTCCTCTCCAGGCAGTTGCTCTCTGGAGGAGCTCTCGCCTCTAATTCCTGCAAGGGAAATGGGATGCGCTTGCCAAAGTTGATGGGCAGTACATGATCCAGGCTCACCAGCCCTTCTGCCTTTCTCTCTATAGATTCCCACTAGCAGCGTGGGAGGTCTTTACATTGTTCTAGGCATTGTGTCTTCTGCAAAGAAAGGTATGTGTAGGAATGAAAGGGGTCTTTCTACCTGGGTTCCCCATTTTGTAGCTGGAGAGATTTGAGGTCCCATGAGGTTCTATGATTTACATGGGGCCACACTGTTGCAGTGAGAAGGCAGAAGCCAGCATGCCATGGCATAAACCTACAGCAAAAAAGGTGTTCTCTCTCCTAAAAAAGAGAAGAAAAGGTAGCATTCTCTCCTCTACCCATGTAGATGTCGTTCTCTCCTATACCCATCTAGATAGCATTCTCTCCTACACCTATCCAGATATCATTCTTTTGGTCTCCCAAGAGATCAGAAAGGGGTAAGGAAAAAAGGGGAATTCTTTTTCCCTTGATTTTCTTATATTATTTGACATTGATAAAACTGACCAGGCTTCTGGCAAAATAACCACAGATATTTACATTTAATAGAAACCAAAACCCATGTTTTTCTAAAAAAAAAAAAAAAAAGCAACAATTTAGACTTTTGTTAACTTATGAAATGCCCTCATCTCAGCACAATACTTAAGGAACCACTTGACTGGGACCCAACTTTTATGAATTTTAAGGAAAGAATGAAAATAGAAAGGGAATAAATATTTAAATATGAAAATCAGCTCCTAAGTACCTAATGCTCCTCAATGATATGCGAATGGTGGAAACAACAGATCAAAGGTGAAGAGAGGATGAACCCAGGCAGAGGCAGGTGCGGAAACAGTGTGCGCAGCATACGAGTGAGCCGCATTCACCAGGAAAGTCACCCTGGGATTCAAACACCAGGCATGGTATTTTCCAGAGAATGCCGGCGTGTTTATCGCCCAGCAGGCCCTGCCCTGCAGCCTGAGAGCACCTACCAGCCTTTCGAACTTGGCAATCCCCCAACAGCCAGAACAATGATTGCTTTTCTCTTGCTATAATAATGCTGTCTAGTTCATCAGAGATCCATTTTGTATTTTTCATTGAGTCCAAAGCACGCTGTTTTCTTCAGAAGAAATCCCATCATGTTTTATACACTTTAAAAAACAATCGGTCTGGTAAATTAGTAAAGATAGGAAAATTCGGGTGAGAAAGCAAGGAGTTTCTGCTAGGATCTCATTATTTTATTTGAAATAAAATGTATTTTTAAAAATCCTACACATATAATATGGTACATGCATGAGTCCAAATATTTCTCAGCTCAACAATGTCTTAGGGAGACAGCTCTGGTGCCATAGTAAAGCTTCATGCTTTACCATTCATTCACTCACTCACTGATTTATTCATCTAATATATACTTATTGAGCATTTACTCTCTGTTCTAAGCACTGAGGAGCAGTTAATGAGATAGAAAATAACCCTGGCTTCATGGAACAAATGCAGAGGAGACCAAGAACAAACCCATGCAAATAGGTAAATATCCTAATTCCACAGGGCAATAAACTCTTTAAAAGAAAAACAGAGTGGTGTGCTGGCCAATGAGGGGGAGTATCAGAGCTGCTGACACCTGAGAGCTGAGATCTGGCTAAGGGGAAGGAGCCTGTGGAGGCCTGGAGTAGGCAGGAGGGTGGCCAAGGCAAAGATCCTGGGGTAAGAGCAAGCCTGACAAATTTAGAGGAAAGAAAGAACACCAGTGTGGACTAACAGCTATTGTGGTAAAGATGTAATAAGATGATGTGTGAAAAAGAACTTGATGGACCACCAAGTGATAGCATGGAAAGGTATTACTTAGTAGTGCTAGAACATGTGAATTATCACATAAAGAACATCATTCTGGGCTAGGCATGGTGGCTCATGGCTATAATCCCAGCATTTTGGGAGGCCAAGATGGGGAGGATAGCTTGAGCTGTGGAGTTGGAGACCAGCCTGGGCAACATAGCGAGACCCTGTCTGCACAAAATTTTTTTTAAAAATTAGCCCAGTATGGTGGTGTGCACCTGTAGTCCCAGCTACTCAGGAGACTGAAGTGGGAGGATTGCTGGAGCCCAGGAGGTCCAGGGTTCAGTGAGCCATGATGTTGCCCCTGCACTCCAGCCTGGGCCACAGAGTGAGATCCAGTCTCAAAAAAAAAAAAGAACATCTTTCTGCATTTAGAAAGGACTAGGGTGAGAACTATATATGTTCCAGTTTTCATCTTCTACTTCCTAATAAAAAGTGGCTGGTTATTCTAAAGCCCTTTCAAATACGACACATTTCTTTTGCATGAAATATGGAATTGTACGTACCTGGAATCCTATTGAGTGTCACCCAGAAATGCTCATCAGGACTGAAAGTGTCCTTGGACCACTGGAGCAAATCAACAGCCCGTGGGTCATGCAGAACAAAGTTGGCAAACTCTCTTGATAGAGCCACATAGGCAGAGCCAAAGTAAATTGTGAGATTATGGGGGGGAGGCGGTTTCAACGCTGTTGTTCTTATCACATAGGAAAGCTCTTTGCCCAGGTGCTCTTGGTGGACATATTTAGTCCGTCCAATTGCATGAGCTGGGGGCAGCACCCCTGGGGTGATATTTTTACCTTTAAATCCTTTCAGATACTGAACTATTTCCTTGTTGGTTTTCAGGGGGAAGTCTTGCCCACAGGTGTTGATAACGTACTTCCATGAGACCTCGAAGGCAGAAAGATCTCTGATGCAGTTCAGGTCAGCCTGGAGCCTGGAGATCCCTCCATAGACAACGGGTTCCATCTTGGAAGCCAGAAAAGCGTTTGGGAAGCAGCTTAATAGTTGCTCTACCGCATCTTTAAATTCAGTTGTTGCTTTTTCATCCACATGAACACAGTAGATATTTTGGGGCATGTAAATAGCCCTGAAGAGCCTTGCAAAGGTGTCAAAGTGATGATGGATGACCATTATATATGCCAAGGGAAAGTCAGCTTCTTCCTTAGATAAAGGGGCTGTGATGTAGTGGCTCTGGGTCAAGTATTCCTTGCAAGAAGACTTCTCATGGATCATTAGTTTGTTTTTCCACAGGAAACGTGTTTTTCCATTGATAAAAGATGTGCAAACTTGAGTCAGCCTCAAAGGGTCTGAGATATTTAGCCTTTGGAAGCTTGGATCTCCCCCAAAATTGAACACAGAGAAGACGATAAAAATAATTACACTAGAGACAGAAATTATGAAGAGGTAACGCATTGATAAAGGCATGCCTCAAAGAAGGGTGAAATGTCAAGAGACCGTCAAAATCTGTAAGTCTTTTTTCCAAACTCACTCGTTTCTCTGAGTTCTTATTTTGCAACATACTCCACTCACTCCTGCCCTGTTGGAGACGCTGGGAATCGATTCCGTTTCATCCCGAGAGTCCAGCTGCTGTCTCTGTCCCTGTGCCGATATTACAGCCAGATCCCGCCTCTCTCAAACCTCCTTTGTTTAAATCCCCGTGGCAGGTTGCTGAAGCCCAGCCTTCCCTCCTCCCTCTGCCTCCCCGTTTGCATCTGCTAGCTGTTTTGCTAAAACTCCGGTAACTCTCTTTCCCCCGGCAGATTTAGTTTCCCATATCTCTTTCTTTCATTTCCCATGCCACCCCCGCCCCCTGGTTACTGCCATTCAGGGAATGAGCGCAGTGAAAGCCAGAGTTGAAGTGATGAGCTCTGGCAGGCGTGCCGCTTCCTGCTAGTCCCCTAGCAGGCGGCTGGACTTGCCCTCTCTTGTTGTTCGTGGCAAGGATCCACAGCCTGGCCTCTCAGCTCTTCCAGCGCAACCCACGGGATAGAAAATAGCTTCTGTTTTCCAACGTGCTGTTTCAGGAAACGTGACACAAGTGACATCTCAAATAAAAGAAAGCCTCATCCATCCCAGCTCCATTGTAATGCTTTTTTGGCCCCACCCCACTGTTTTTCAAAACAAGAGCTTACTGGAGGAGGAGTTCCTGTCCCAGGGGGTCTGAAATTGCTGGGGCGCCTTGGGCTCCTGACTCTGAAACGAACCCCTCTCCTCTCACTTCCAGCTTCGGCTGTGGTGTTTGTCTTAGAATACTGGGGTCAAAAGAAGAAGTCGTGAGCTACATCCACTGAGTTATATGAGACCTTAGAGCTTCATGGGAAATAATTTGAATCTTGGTCACAAATGATGCTCAGACAGGGGATTTGGTGGGCATTCAGGCTTTAACCCCCCCAGAGAACGGCATCAAATGCTCAGAAGTGTCATATGCCTGCCCAGTTAAGCTTATGGACCACCTAGGAAGTGGGTGTTTTTATCCCCTATTTGTAAATATAGTGGTGTTCTGGCCAAGGAGTATGAAGCTGTTTTACTTGGAAAGTTCTCATCTTCAACTTTCCACTTTCCCACCAACTAATTTTTAATGAAATGTAGATTAATGCATTTTATTTGGTATCCTCTTAAAATGGCTTGCAAAACACCAACTTAACCATTGACTGCCTGCCCATTTCCCCTCACTATTCACCTGACCTAAACAACTCCGTGCCTCAACCCCAACACGTTCACTACCCCACCCCATGCAGAAAGAATGTCCTTTAATGCACATTTTCTTCCATTTGAAAAGTCTCTACCCTGCCATGAATGGAATTGATAGGACAACACGCGGATTCCTTGCCTTCACAATGGGCAGGAAAGCAAGTGCTACCCTCCTGGGATTCAGGGGCACCCTGAACTCCGACCAAATGACACATCATTTCCTGAGCACACTGTCGCTTCCATTCTTCTAACTTTCATTGTTTACATTTTTCATGCGTTTCCAGCTTGTACATTATTTTTCTCTCTCCCTTACCAAAGTCTCCTAAATAAACTCTCTATATAACCCACCCCTGGATTTTTAGGTCAAGTAGAAAACAATACAATGAGAAAGCAGTTCAGTCTAATTCTTAGTGTCTTCTATGGAATCGAGCAAAGAGAATGATCTAAAATTTATGATAAAGAAAAATTCAATCCTAAGTTTTTCTTCTTCTGAATAATACTTTTAAATATTAGGTTATTGTGTATTCTACTCCTAAACAAAAGAGAGTAATTCAGTATCTTCTTTGGCAAAGATTTGTGGCTTAGAATGAACATTAAAATAGTTACAGTTTGACAAAGCATTCGGTGCACATAACTTAATTTGGGCAACAGAGTCTGTTTACATTATTGTTTCCAACTGGCCAATAACATGGGGGTTTGGATTTATACAAACTTAGGAGACAGACATTAATAGCATTACTATATTAAGAAATATAGACACTAACCAAATTAGGAATGTTCGTAATACTTCCGTACTCAATCCAGTACTTCAAATGGCATTGTGTGTTGAAAAATATAGTCGATTTTCCTCCCAGCTCTTTTGTCTGTCCTTGGGCCAATTTTCTCCACTCTCAGATTCTGGTATTAAAAAATCTTGACAGGAGAACTTTAAAAAAAATCCCTTATTGCATTAGAGGAAGACTGTTACCTTTCTTTTCTAATAGGCTGTACAACCTGCTTATCCAGACACCATGCACTTTTTTGCTACTGAGACTGAACAAGTCAGCCCTCCAGGCCTGCCTTTAACTATAGCTGAGGACAAAGTTGACACTAGCCAGCCATGCCTTGTCACTCACTTTGGATAGAATTATTCCCAAACTAGCCAATTAATCAGGCTAGACATGTTAACACTCCCCTGGGGCCATCTTAGAGGCTTTCTCCATATTCCGTTCATAGTCTTTTATTTTGCAGACATTATTTGAGGTATGTTTGGTTTTTTTCCTTTGAGGCAGTGTCTGACTCTGTCACCCAGGCTGGAGTGCAGTGGCACCATCATGTCTCACTGCGGCCTTGACCTCCTGGGGTCAAGCAATCCTCCTGCCTCAGCCTCACAAGTAGCTGGGATTACAGGCATGTGCCACCACGCCCAGCTAATTTTTGTATTTGTAGAAGAGACGGGATTTCGCCACGTTGGCCAAGCTGGTCTTGAACTCTTGGGCTCAAGCGATCCGCCCACCTTGGCCTCCCAAAGTACTGGGATTACAGGCGTGAGCCACCACGCCCGGCCTATTTAATGATTTTTTTCCACTTAGGATGATATGTAGAACATAGCTCCAAAGGAAAGAGAGTATCCTTTCTTTGAAATGACAGAGGACTTAGAATCTCAATGAATTAAAAAAATAATAATCAAAGGGGGAAAAGATTGCCCTCCTCCATGTGCTCAGCATCTCTTGGCTTCCCATGTGAAGGCCAAGGTACGAAAGACCTGGGGAAAACTGTGTTGGAGGCAGATGACACTGAGAGTTTGCTACATGCCAGGCTAAGTCAACTAGTGAAGGAGGTGGAAAAGACCTTGCATGAGGCACTAAAAATCTGGGACTTCATCTCCTTGCCAGAGGAGCACACAACAGGCTTCCAGTGGAGGAGCACCTCCAGGCAGGGCGTGCCAGCTGGAGGAGGATTGTGTACACATTCCCTCCTGCATCTTTCCTCTATTTAATTGCATGTACGAATGCACACTTCATTACACCCTCATAATTGTTCTGAGACTTGTTTGTCTATTGTCAATTAACCACCATCCTTTAGTTGGGAAAGGACTTGAGGGGACACAGGTTTGAGCAGCAACACTAGACATGTAAAGTTGAATGAAAGCAAAGATGGCACTGAGAAGACTGGCTCAGAGAGAGTTTGTTAAAGTCGCGTTGAGAGGCTCAGCTGCACTGGCAGAAAAGGTTAGGTAAATGGGGTGAAACTGTACCCATTCTGAGGCTCCCTGATGGCTTTCCTTGGAAGGGTATTTTTACGTGGCTTGCTCTGTCATTGAAGAAGTCAAATGACTCAGGGATTCATTCTTAATTATAAAATACAGAGATTTGTTTTTTCCCCTGACCTAAGAGTAATACATGAAAAAGTAGAGAATGCTGGCAGTCCAATTCATTTTGGACAGCGTATTAAGTACAGTCGTCCCTGTTCCAGGGATGAGTTCCAGGACCTCTGAGGATACAAAGTCCACAAATGCATAAGTCCCTGATATAACATGATGTAGTATTTGCATATAACCTATGCACAGCCTTTCTTGTACTTTAAATCATCTCTAAATTACTTATAATACCGAATACAATGTAAATGCTATGTAAACAGTTGTTATGCTGTATTCCTTAGGGAATAATGCCAAGAAAAAAAAAAAGCCTGTACATATTCAGTACAGAAGCAACCACTCTTTTTCCCCCGCCCAAGGTCGAATCCAAGGATTCAGGATCTGGGGAAACAGAGTGCTGAGGTTGGTTGAATCCAAGGATTCAGGACCTGGGGAAACAGAGTGCTGACTGTAATTCTGCTCTGGGTGGCCAGGTGGTTTGTAAATTTTTTTTTTTTTTTTAACATGATAATGATCATGATACTAACATGAAGGAAGAAGACATTTCCAAAGCACATCTTTAACTAAAACAACAATCCTCCCGTAACAAAGACATTCTCTGGATTTGTTGGATTCCCTGGGGAAAATCCTGCTTCTCCGGGGGCCCAATCATTTTACTTTCTATACCTTTCATCTAATTAGCAACAAAAGAAATTGTTGTCTAGATCACAGAACCCAAAGCATTATTTTAAATTCTCATCTCAGGCCAGGTGCAGTAGCTCACACCTGTAATCCCAGCACTTTGGGAGGCCAAGATGGGTGGATCACCTGAGGTCAGGAGTTTGAGACCAGCCTGGCCAACATGGTGGAACCCCCATCTCTACTAAAAATACAAAAATTAGCTGGGCATGGTGGCGGGCACCTGTAATCTCAGCTACTTGGGAGGCTGAGGCAGGAGAATCGCTTGAACCTGGGAGACAGAGGTTGCAGTGAGCCGAGGTGGCGCCACTGCACTCCAGCCTGGGTGACAAGAGCGAAACTGCGTCTCAAAAGATGAATAAATAAAAAATAAAAAAAAATAGCCAGGCGCAGTGGCTCATGCCCGTAATCCCAGCACTTTGGGAGGCCAAGGCAGGTGGATCACGAGGTCAGGAGTTCAAGACCAGCCTGGCCAAGATGGTGAAACCCTGTCTCTACTAAAAATACAAAAGTTAGTCAGGCATGGTGGTGGGCGCCGGTAGTACCAGCTACTCAGGAGGCTGAGGCAGAGAATTGCTTGAATCAGGGAGGCGAACGTTGCTGTGAGCCGAAATCGTGCCGTTGCACTCCAGCCTGGGCAACGGAGCGAGACTCCATCTCAAAAAAAAAAAATAAATTAATAATAATAATAAATAATAAAAATTAAAAAATAAAAAATAAATTATCTCAGAGGCGGGGAAAGAAGTTTAACATGCAGAATTTTAAAGACCCAGGCGGCAAGTCCAGAGGTGGTCTTGCCATCTCTGTGTGAGCTGGTGTAATCTGCACCTGATTTTGATGCAGCAAAGTTATGATGGAAACACTTCCTGGATGCTGAATGATGCCAAGCAAATACTTGCAAAAGACAGTATACAAAGTATTTAAATAGGCAAATGTTAAGGCGCATGTGGCTAGGGGCAGTCTTCTATTAGCATACATCTAACAATTGGAAAAATGAAAATCCTGACATTTGGGGCCTTGGAAAATGAAAACTAAGTTGCCAAAAATAGGTCACGGCCAATGAACATCTCAAGATGAGACTTACCACTGAATTTACTTGTGGAAATTGTTTAACACTGGGAGGGTGACTGACTCATTAATTGTATTACCAAAACATTGGTTTCCACAACTATCAGCCAAATTGGGTGTGTCTGTAGCTTGAGGATAAGGGTAGTACTGATTAGTGGTTTGCAAACTTTACTTTTACATCTCATCACCTGGAGGAGCTGTAGAAATACAGGTTACAGGGCCCCTGCCCTAAGAGTTCAGTAGGTTCCAGGTGAGTTTAATAATTTACATTTCTGACAAGTGTGGTGGCTCACGCCTACAATCCCAGCACTTTTGGGAGGCCGAGGGAGAGGATTACTTGAGCCCAGGAGTTTGGGACCAGCTTGAGCAACATAGTGAGACCTTGTCATTACAAAAAAATTAAAAAGTTAGCCAGGCACAGTGGTGCATGCCATCTACTTGGGTGGCTGAGGTGGGGAGATCACTTTAATTTGGCAGGTTAAGGCTGCGGTAAGCCATGATGGTGCCACTGCACTCTAGCCTGGGTGACAAAGCAAGACCCTGTCTCAATAATAATAATAATAATTTGCATTTTGGTCCCAGATAAAGCTGAAACCACTCATCCTAGGACCAAAGTTTGGGAGTCAAGGGACTAGAGCAAAATTACTCGATTTTTTTTTCTCAATGACCCTATCTCTACTTTCCCTATAATTAATATATTGTAAGAAAAAAAAAATGTTAGGCCGGACTCAGTGGCTCATGCCTATAATCCCAGCACTTTGGGAGGCCAAGGCAAGGAGTTCAAGACCAGCCTGGCTAACATGGCGAAACCCCACCTCTACTAAAAATACAAAAATTAGCCAGGCATGGTGGTGGGCACCTGTAATCCCAGATACTCGGGAGGCTGAGACAGAAGAATTACTTGAACCCGGGAAGCAGAGGTTTCAGTGAGCCCAGATTGCGCCACTGCACCCCAGCCTAGGCAACAAGAGCAAAACTCCGTCTCAAACAAACAGAAAAAATTGGGGTAAACTACTATATAATTTGGAAATACATAGTAAACATGAACTCAAATGATGGACAATCTAACCACTAGAGCAAAATTTACTATGGAAAACTAATTGGTGGTAGTAGTGGGAGAAAATGAATACACAAACACCTGGTGCTTATATTTAAATGAGAGAAACCTTGGTTACAAGTCATCTCCCAAACACCATCTCTAATTACGATACACAGCAACCACATCTGGGCACAATCCATATTATACAAAATACAGAACAGAATTATTTAACAATAAACACTGCTGCATTGAGTAGTGGTCATAAGCTGAATTCGAAGACGGTGTAGGAAAGGGATTAAAAGAGAGACAGAGAGCTACTGGGGAGACTGAGGCAGGAGAATTGCTTGAGCCTGAGAGGCGGATGTTGCAGTGAGCCCAGACTGTGCCACTACACTCCAACCTGGGTGACAGAGCGAGACCCTGTCTCAAAAAAAAAAAAAAAAAAAAAAAAAAGAGAGAGAGATTGAGAGAGAAAGGAAGTAAGGCAGAAAATACCAATTCAATTCGTGAAGATATGGAGCAACAGCAACCCTCATGCCCTGATGGAGAAGTGTGAATTGGTATGACAACTTTGAAAAACCAACAATACAATGTCTACTAAAGTTGAGCATACCTATATCCTATGACCCAAAATTCCATTCTCCAGTATTTACTCAACAGAAATGAAATATATTCATCAAAAGATATCTAAGTCAAGATTCGCTGCAGCCATATTCATAATAGAGCCAAACTGGGGACTACTCAAATGCCCACCAACAGTTACTATAGAGCAGGGTTTCTCAGCGTGGGCACTATTGGCATTTTGGGCTGAAAAATGCCGTGTTGTGAGGGCTGTGTGTTGTAGGATGTGCTGCCCTGTGCATTGTAGGATGCTGAGGGGCACCCCTGGCCTCTACCCACTAATGCCAGTAGCACCTTTTGCTTCCCTCCCTCAACCTCTGACAACCAAAAATGTCTTCACGCTGGGCGCGGTGGCACACTCCTGCAATCCCAGCACTTTAGAAGGCCAAGGCGTGTGGATCACGAGGTCAGGAGTTCAAGACCAGCCTGTCCAACGTGGTGAAACCCCGTCTCTCCTAAAAATACAAAAATTAGCCGGGTGTGGTGGCATGCGCCTGTAATCCGAGCTACTTGGGAGGCTGAGGCAGAGAACTGCTTGAACCCAGGAGGTGGAGGTTGCAAGTGAACTGAGATCACGCCATTGCACTCCAGTCTGGGTGACAGCGAGACTTCGTCTCAAAAAAAAAAAAAGGTCTCCAAATATGGGTTCTTCTCTCTATGCAACAATGAGAATGAATGAAATACAACTGCCTGCAACAAAACGGTGAATCTCACAAACATAATGTTGAACAAAAGCAAGCCAGATAGAAAAAATAACATATGCTGTATATTTCCACTTATATGAAGTACAAAAACAAGATTTTATATATCTAGATTATACCAGGAGTGGGAGGGGGCTGCCCTGGCAAGTGGAGTGGATGGTAATAAGAGGGTACCAGGAAAGTATGAGTGATGACGCTGATAGCTGGCATTAGGTGCTACACTCAGAAGGTCACTGGTGTTTGCCCCTAATCACTCAGGTAGCAATGGCTGACCCAAGACCTGAATGTGAACGGCTTTGTTCCCAAGCTCTTGCTCTTGTTGCAGCAGCCTTTTGTGGTGCCCTTTCTGGGAGGCCCAGGAATATCTTGGTGTCAGTGCCCAGATCTGCTTCACAGAAAAATCCTTTGACCTAAGGAGAACTGTGGTGTTCACTTTCATTTATTTATTTTTAACTTTTTTAGAGATAGGGTCTCATTCTGTTGCCCAGGCTGGAGTGCATGGAGTGCAGTGGCAAGATCTTAGCTAACTGCAGCCTCAAACTCCTAGGCTCAAGTGATCCTCCTGTTTCAGCTTCCCAGATTTTGATCTTTAAATACCATTCTCTATTCAGTAGAACCAGGGCTTCCTTCTTGGAAAGAATGGCTGATTGCAAGACTGGGGCAGGTTAAGTGCAGGATTAGCTTGGAACATCTCCTGTGCCAAAAAGAATCACTGGGACTTGTTGAAAGAACACACAAGCCAGCTTGAACAGGCTTTCACTGGCCAAGTCTGGGACAATTTGAGCAGTAAAGTAAGTAAAAAGAATAATGGATTATAACCCATTGAATAAATATAAATCTAAGTCCCCAGAGATATAAATAAATAAGCCAACACACAGGAGAAGGGATGGCTCTACCTAATAGTTGAATGTCAACTAATAAACACAGAAGAAGGATGAATTTTATTTAAAATTCATGATTTGGTAACGATCACAGTAAAAACTGAGTCAGGCAAGATCCAATGAATGGCAAAACTGGAGAGTGATTGTTTGATAAACAGGATATCTACTTAGTAATAAATAAAAACACTTCCTAGCTTTTCACTGGAGAAATGTGGCAGGCACTATCTTAGCCAAGTGATAAAAAGTCATCATCATTATAAGGCTCTACAGCATTATTTCCACCATATCTTTGCCCAAAAGGTATAACCTAAATTTAATCATGAGAAATCATCAGAGCTGCACTCTTCAAAAATGAGATCTTGGAAGACAAAGACAGACTGAGAAATTGTTCCAAACTGGAGGGGACTAAAGAGATATGATGGCCAAAGTTTAGCTTAAGATTCTTGATCAGATCCCAGATTCATGAAGGACATAATGAGTATAACCATGCACACTGGAATAGGGTCTGTGGATTAAATAGTAATGCTACTTATCACTTGATAGTTGTACTGTGGTTACATGGGGGTGGGTGTCTTTGTTGCTAGGAAATATGCTTTGAAATATTAAGGGATAACTTGCAAATAGTTTAAGAAAAATATATGAATAAGAGAGAGAGCAGATATGATTAGGCAAGTGTACAAAATATTATGGGTTGGGAAATATGGATAAAAGGTATACGGGAGCTCTTTATACTATTCTTGTTAAGTATAGTAAGTTTGAACTAGTTTAAAATAAAAGGTCAAAGGAAATCTTTGTGATCTCAGGATGGCAATAATTTCTTAAGGTAGGACATAAAATCATGAACCATAAAAGAAAAAAAGTGTAATGATTCCATAAAGTATATTTTTATATACAGATGGGTGTGCCATAGATTACCAACATATTATTAATGTTATCTCTGGAAAAAGATGTAATACAGAGAAGGATGAAGAAGTATGGACATGTTTTATTTTTCTTAATCTTTTGTGTACTGTTTACATTTTTAAAATAAGGATATACTGCTTTCATAAAAATCAGCTTTAAAATATAATAAATAAAATAAAAGGTTGAAAACTCACTGAGATCTTTAAATATTTTATAGATCTTCAAAGAGTAATATTTTCTTTTCTTTTCTTTTAAACGGAGTCTCACCCTGTCACCCAGGCTAGAGTACAATGGCGAGATCTTGGCTCACTGCAACCTCCGCCCCCTGGGTTCAAGCAATTATCCTGCCTCAGCCTCCTGAGTAGCTGGGATTACAAGCACCTGCCACCACGCCTGGCTAATTTTTTTGTATTTTTAGTAGAGACAGGGTTTCACCATATTGGCCAGGCTGGTCTCGAACTCCTGACCTCATGATCCGCCCACCTCGGCTTCCCAAAGTGCTGGGATTACAGTCATCAGCCACCGTGCCTGGACAACAGTAGGTTTTTAGTAGTTGAGTTTTAGGGGAGTCAAAAGCTATACATAGGTTTTTGGCTACACAGGGGTTCAGTGGGCCTAACCGCCACATTGTTGGCACTGGTCAACTGCATTTGTCTGAAACCTGTAGATAAAATGGACAAAGCTGCTCTCAGCCAGAGGTATCTGGCCAAACGGCTTCAACTGTCCTGGGTTTTGCCTGCCGTATATGCTGCTGAGATCAACGTGTAGCCCATCTGTAACCCATTCCCAGCAAGTCAGCATGCACAGACATGGCAGGGAAGCTCAGCAGTGAGGCATAAAGAACAGCAAAAGAGGCTGCCGTTACAGGAATCAGTTTAAGAAGCTAAAAACACACATCGGGAAAATATTACACATGGGGAAAAGATCAAGTCATTTCTAGCTGCCCTTGGAACTAGACCCTGCAACCTTTGGAACAACTCCAGGTTTCTACTTTCAGGCCCCACATCTTGTCAACAGTGACCTATCCATTGTAACTGATTTTATTTCTTAACCTTGCCTTTTCTTTAATTTCATTTACCCTGCCATCTTAACCATCCCTTGTATTGCCTGGGAGCTGAAAAGCAAGGAAGTCTTACACCCTCCTCCACTGCTGGCTTTTGCCTGATTCACAAAGCTGAAGACACTTGAGTCTCCCAGACCAGGACTAAACTCAGGAAAGCAGCTAAAAACAGCTTCACATGGCTCAGGATTTGAATGGAAAATTCTACAAGGGTGACTGATTTACCCTTCATGAAAACTGTTATGATTTTTCACAAGGCACGAAGGAGGTTAGGATTGCAACGATCATAGGAATTTGAAGTTCGCTTTATTCCTAATAAGGAGAATACTAGAAAGAGACACAGTTATGAATCCTTCGAGGTAAAAACAAAAGAACATGAAACCCTGTCAGAAACTGTCCTAAGTTTGTCAAGCTCAGGAACACAAAAGGTAGTATTTAAAGCAGCAAAAATCACTAAGGAAGTTTGAGCTGGCTTGATGTGGATTTAAACAAAACTCCAAAGTTTCTAGGTGGTCAAATGTCGATAGCGCAGACCAATGAGCACCCACAAAAATGGAGATCACAGCCAAGGCACAGCTCTTGCAAAATGGAAAAAGCCAAAAAAGTAAAAGCAAAGGCACCAACTAGGACTTCAGCACGAACCCTTCAGCTCACCGTGCAAGAGCTGGGAGGAAAAGGATATAGACTAGAAAGAGAAGATACAGTTTTATTAGAAAGGAGGGGGCTGGGGGGCTGTACCCACTTGATTCTTAAAAAGAGGAATGATGGTTTACATAAAATCGCAGAAAAGGAATCTAATCATAGTAACTACATATTAGGATTAAATTAAATTGCTTTATTTATTTTCCCAGCAGCTCTCTGACCACCTCATTTATTTATTTATTTATTTATTTATTTATTTATTTGAGACAGAGTTTTTGCTCTGTTGCCAAGGCTGGGGTGCAGTGGCACAATCTCAGCTCACTGCAACCTCTGCCTCCCGGTTTCCAGTGATTCTCCTGCCTCAGCCTCCCGAGTAGCTCAGATTACAGGTGCCTGCCACCACGCCCAGCTAATTTTTTGTATTTTTAGTGGAGATGGGGTTTCACCACGTTGGCCAGGCTGGTCTCGAACTCCTGATCTCAGGTGATCTGCCCACCTCCACATCCCAAAATGCTGCTATTACAGGCATGAGCCATCATGCCCGGCCCCATTTATTTATTTATTTATTTATTTAATATTTTATTTTATTTTATGTATTTATTTTTGAGATGGAGTCTTGCTCTGTCACCCAGGCTGGAGTGCAGTGTGGTGATCTCGGCTCACTGCAACCTCCGCCTCCTGGGTTCAAGCAATTCTCTGCCTCAGCCTCCCGAGTAGCTGGGATTATAGGCACCTGCCACCACGCCCTGCTAATTTTTTTGCGTTTTTAGTAGAGATGGGGTTTCACCAAGTTAGCCAGACTGGTCTTGAACTCCTGACCTCGTGATCCACCTGCCTCAGCCTCCCAAAGTGCTGGGATTACAGGCGTGAGCCACCGTGTTGCCTATTTTACTTTTTGAGACAGAGTCTTGCTGTCGCCCAGGCTGGAATGCAGTGATGTGATCTCGGCTCACTGCAACCTCCGCCTCCTGGGTTCATGCAATTCTCCTGTCTCAGCCTCCCAAGTAGCTGGGATTACAGGCGCACACCACCACGCCCGGCTAATTTTTGTATTTTTACTAGAGACGGGGTTTCGCCATATTGGCCAGGCTGGTCTCGAACTCCTGATCTCAGGTGATCCGCCCATCTCGGCCTCCCAAAGTTCTGGGATTACAGGCGTGAGCCACCAGGCCTGGCCCATTTATTTATTTTTTAAATGAGTCTTAGCTATTTTCTTGGTCACAGGATTTAGGAGTTACAGACCTAAACTAACATTTTGTCCATATAGTGTGTCCTTAATTCAATGTCAGACAATTTCATCTCCTAATCGACTCCATTTTAAATTCAAATGTAATCATCTTGACACTGACACTTACTAGCTGGGCGTCCTTGGGCAAGTAATACAGACTCCATATCTCAGTGTCCTCAGTGATTGCAACAATCTTAATTCAAAGAAATAACGTCCAAAGGGCACTTAGTCCTCTTCTAAGAAGATATATCAAAGGCCAACAAGTACATGATGCCCAACATCATTGTTAATTAGGGACATGCTAATCAGAACTATAAGAGGATACCACTTCACACTCACTAGAAGGGCTAAACTAAAAAAGATAGACAATAACAAGGATATGAAAAAATTGGAACCCTCATACACTGATGGTGGGCATGCAAGATGTTGCAATCCATTGGAAACCAGTTTGGCAGGTCCTCAAAATGTTAAACATAGAATTAACATTGGGGGCTAGGTACAGTGGTTCACGCCTGTAATCCCAGAACTTTGGGAGGCCGAGGCAGGTGGATCATTTGAGGTAAGGAGTTTGAGACCAACCTGAACAACATGGTGAAACCCTGTCTCTACTAAAAATACAAACAAGTTAGCTGGGTGTGGTGGTGTGCTCCCGTAGTCCCAGCTACTTGGGAGGCTGAGGCACGAGAATTGCAGAGGTTGCAGTGAGCTGAGATGGAGCCACCGAACTTCAGCCTGGGCGACAGAGCGAGACTCTGTCTCAATTTAAAAAAAAGGGCCGGGCGTGGTGGCTCACTCCTGTAATCCTAGCACTTTGGGAGGCCGAGGCTGGTGGATTACTTGAGGTCAGGCGTTTGAGACCAGCCTAGCCAACATGGTGAAACCCCGTCTCTACTAAAAATATAAAAATTAGCCGGGTGTGGTGGCGCATGCCTGTAATCCCAGCTACTTGGGAGGCTGAGGTAGGAGAATCGCTTGAACCCGGGAGGTGGAGGTTGCAGTGAGCCGAGATCATGGCATTGCACTCCAGCCTGGGCAACAAGAGTGAAACTCCGTCTCAAAATTAAAAAAAAAAAAAAAAAAAAAAAAAGAATTAACATAGGGACCAGCAGTTTCACTCTTGGTATCTACCCAGGAGAAATGAAAACATGTGTCCCCATAGTGACTTGTTCAGGAATGTTCATAGCAACATTCTTCACACAAGCCAAAAGTAGAAGCAACCCAAATGTCCATCAATGGATGAAAAAATAAACGTGGTGTATCCATATAATGGAACAGCATCCATTCCTATAAAAAGTGAAGTACTGATTCACGCGATAACACGGATGAACCTTAAAAACATGGCAATAAGTAAAAGGAGCTACGCATGAAAGAACACATATAGTATGATTTGGTTAATATGAAATGTCCAGAAAAGGCAAATCCATAGAGCCAGAAAAGCAGGGGTTGGGTGTGGAAATGGGAAGTGGTCATGAGGTTTCTTTGTGTAGTAATAAAATGATTCTACATTAGCCGGGGATCATGGTTGCATAACTGTAAAGGCACTAAAAATCATTACATTGTACACAAAAGTGGGTGAGTTTTATGGTATGTAAATTATATGTCATAAATTTCACCCTATGTAAATTATACCTCAATAAACCTGTTACCTTTAAGAGGGGGAAAGGCAATTAGTTTAGTGCGTAGCAGTGTAAGAACTTACAGGATGATGATGATTGGCAAGCCTTCTAGAAAATCTTTATGGTGCCTAAAACTGGGGCAGGAAACAGCTGTAACTCTGTCGATCTGTTGTAGATTCTATCAGTGACTTGGACGGTAGAAACCTGTTGGATATTTTTTCTTTTTTCTTTTTAAATTTTACATTGCAGGTCTCATTAGCAGAAAACTGCTGGATTTGTATGAAAGCAACAACACAATTGGTTTCATACTAGCAACGTAAGGTGAATTTGAATTCAATCTGACGCCAAGCTTTGTGTTGGTTGAGGCTCGCAAAGATATAAAGCTCCCTACCCTCCAAGATTCTGCTTTCTGGCAGCAGCAATAGATGATTAAACCGCAAACCCTAACTACAGTGACAACAAAAAGTATTTGGAGCACAAAGGACAAACTGCTCTGCCTGAGGGTAGGGGCTTGTCAATGATTTAGGAGCAAGACCAACTCAACTGGGTCCTCAAAGATAACCAGGATTTTTGCAGGCTAAGAAAAGCCTAGGGGGAAAACTAGCTCAAAGGCAAAGAGGTCTGTTTGAATTCCCTGAATTGAATTCAGAGTCCCTTGAATTCCCTGCAATTACATAGGGAATTCAAGTTGAAGCCAAATCAACTACTTCAACTACATTTTCTGAATATTTTAAATCACAGCCTCTCAGGGCCAAAATAACTCTGCTAACTTCCCTTAATTAATGATTTTACTTTTCTAGACCTGAACTAAAACGTATAGGAATTTGACCCAGCGATCCCATAGATCCAAAGGAATATAAATCATTCTGTCATAAAGATACATGCACGCGTATGTTCACTGCAGCACTATTCACAATAGCAAAGACATGAAATCAACCTAAATGCCCATCAGTGATAGACTGGATAAAGAAAATGTCGTATATATACGCCATAGAATATTATGCAGCCATAAAAAGGAACGAGATCATGTCCTTTGCAGGGACATGGATAGAGTTGGAAGACATTATTCTCAGCAAAGTAACGCAGAGACAGAATACCCAAACACCGCATGTTCTCATACGTGGGAGCTGATTGATGAGAACTTATGGACACATGCAAGGGAACAACACATACTGGGGCTGGTGGGGGGCGTTGGCAGAGGGAAAGCATCAGGAAGAAGAGCTAATAGAGACGCTGGGCTTAATACGTAGGTGATGGGATGATCTGTGCGGGTAAACCACTGTGGCACACGTTTACCTATGTAACAAACCTGCACATCCTGCACACGTACCCGAACTTAAAATAGAAAGAAAACAAAAACAATATACAAATTCAGTCCTCAAAACGGATGGAGGGTAATTGATACTGACCCTAGCAATCAGATGACTAAGAACTCCCAAAGGCAGACCACACTCCCAAGAGTGTTTTCTAATGGATTTAGCACAGGTGGCAGCAAAGGATGTTTGTCCTTTGAAAAAGTTGGTGGAAGTGATGGGGGAGTTGGGGTTTAGATTTAGGAATCCCACCCTGTGGACTGCTTAAAAGCTGAGCTAGAATTGAAAAATCAGAAAATAAACTTCCTGTAATGCTGAAGGGGAATTTTCTCCACTTGTAGAGAACATCTTATTAGACATGCAGACGATTTCTCTTCCATTTCTCCGTTCCTCATGCAAAGTGATATTGGAAGCCCACTCAGTGATGAAGCTGGATAAAAGTCTAGGTCCTGGGCCAATCATTAGGTTGCCTGCTCACATTTGGTGTGCTGGTGGTTGGGGGTGGGCAGGGCCCGGGCATAGAGGGAACTGAGATCTACACAAATTGTTAAGATGCAATGGAAGAGGTGCTGCAAGAGAAGTGTGGATAAGGTGGGGCAGGGGAGCTGCTTCTGCAGGAGTGTAAAGCAGCTGAGGCCGTGACTTTTCAACTGGATCTTGAACAGAGGAGAATGAGCAGCAAAGATAAAGAGTATTCCAGAACAAAAAGACAGCATGAACAGGTTGTGGAGGCCATTTGGCTTCAGACAAGTCTAAAGTGAGAAGCCTGGAGAGGTAGGAGGCTTTAGTCACAGAATGCTACTTCCTGGTACAAGACTACAGACAGGTGACATTGCTAAGAAGAACTATACCCTAGGGAACCTCTTCAGCCACATACCTAATTTATTCCTCCCTTCCTCTCTCCCTCTCTTCCTTCCTTCCTTCCATCCTTTACTTTCTTCCTTTTCCTTCCTTCCTTTCCTTCCTTTTTTTTTGAGATGGGGTCTCACTCTGTCACCAAGACTGGAGTGCAATGTCACGACCACCCCTCACTGTAGCCCCGACCTCCCGTGCTCAAGCGATCCTCCTGCTTCAGCCTCCCAAGTAGCTGGGACTACCGGCACGCGCCTCCAAGCCCGGTTAACTTTTGTATTTTTTGTAGAGATGGAATTTCACTATGTTGCCTAGGCTGGTCTCAAGCAATCCTCTGATCCTCCTGCCTTGGCCTCCCAGTGTTGGGATTACAGGCATGAGCCATCATGCCCGGCCTCACATACCTGATTTCTAACCAAAAATTAGACCTTATGCTTTCAAAACCAAATGTTAGAAGGTTTTGTTTTTTGTTTTAGTTGCACATAGAATTTTTAGAATCGTAACATTAAAACCTCAAAAATCAACACCTGAGAAGTTCATCTGTTTTCTCTCTCTCTCTCCATTTAATGAGTTTCTATGATGTGCCAGGTATAGTTTGTGTACTCTCTAATCCTTCAACAGTCCTACAAAGAGATATTTTATCCCCAGGATATAGATGAAGAATCAGGCTCAGTGAAATGAGGCATTTGCCCAAAGTTAAAGAGATGGCGGGGCCGGGCGCAGTGGCTCACGTCTGTAATTCCAGCACTTTGGGAGGCTGAGGTGGGCGGATCGCCTGAGGTCAGGAGTTCGAGACCAGCCTGACCAACATGGAGAAACCCCGTCTCTACTAAAAATACAAAATTTGCCAGGCGTGGTAGTGCATACCTGTAATCCCAGCAACTCGGGAGGCTGAGGCAGGGGAATCGCTTGAACCCAGGAGGCAGAGGTTGCAGTGGGCCGAGATCGCACCACTGCACTCCAGCCTGGGCAACAAGGGTGAAACTCTGCCTCAAAAAAAAAAAAAAAAAAAAAAAAAAGAGACGGTGAGCTGTAGAGATAGGCTTTAAACTCAGGCCTGTTTGTTTCTAAACCCCACCAGTGAGTGTGAGCTACTCTCCAACTCTAATAGAGAGTAAACAAATCTTTAGACTATTTTTCCAAACCATTCACCAGTCCACTTAAATCTTAAATGCATTCTAATTGATGTCATCTGACTATACTCCAGCTGGGCCCAACCCTTATTTTTTTCTTTCTCATCAAACTACTTTTAGCTTCCTCAGTATAAAATTAAGATAGGTCCCCATAGGAAGAAACATTATTTTTTGGTTTTAAAAAGGAAATTGCTACCTAAAGGAGCAACAGAATATTAAAACAGGGTCATGTCTCTGGTTATTCCTCTGAGATCCCAGAAGATGGTATAATTGGCAAAGCAAAACTATTTATATACATTATCATTATTATGTAAGCCATTTTTGATGGTAATATATATGGATACATAAAATGCATACAAATCAATTAAACTACATATTGGGGCAATTTCTGATCTGGGGAAATTACAATCTTTTTATAAACTCAAAAAAAAGTCAAAATCATTAGCAGTCCTCAGTTGTGCTGTGTCACTTTATGACTTTCAGCAACTAAGCCTGTTATTCCATAACAAAACATAGATGCCATGAGATCTATCAGGGTTTATATTTAAGGTGTCATGGGTATAAATTCAGGAAAGAATACAGACGGTCCCTGACTTATGAGAGTTCAACATATATATATATATATATATTTTTTTTTTTTTTTTTTTTTTTTTTTTTTGAGACGGAGTCTCACTCTTGTCGCCCAGGCCAGAGTGCAATGGTGCGATCTCAGCTCACTGCAACCTCTGCATCCCAGGTTCAAGCGATTCTCCTGCCTCAGCCTCCCGAGTAGCTGGGATTACAGGCGTGCACCACCATGCCTGGCTAATTTTTGCCTTTTTAGTAGAGACGGGGTTTCATCACGTTGGCCAGGCTGGTCTCGAACTGCTGACCTCAGGTGATCTGCCCACCTCAGCTGCCCAAAGTGCTAGGATTACATGCGTGAGCCACTGCGCCTGGCCTCAACTTATAATTTTTTTTACCTTATGATGTGTGAAAGCCATGAGCATTTAAGTAGAAACCATATTTTGACTTTTGAATGTTGGTCTTTTCCCAGGCTAACGAGGTGCGGTAGGATACTCTCTCATGATGCTAGCAGTGGCAGGCCACCCCAGCTCCCGGTCAGCTATGAGATCATGAGGGTAAACAACTGAGACTGTACTCTATAGTGCACTGTATTCAAGAAATCACATGACATAGACACCACTTTATTATAAAATAGGCTTTGTGTAAGATGATTTTGCCCATCGGTAGGCTAACAATGTAAGTGTTCTGAGCATGTTTAAGGGAGGCTAGGCTAAGCTAGGATATTTGGTAGATTAGGTACATTAAATGCATTTTCTTTCGTTTTCTTTGTTTTGTTTTTTTTTTTTTTTTTTTTTTTTTTTTGCGGCAGAATCTCCCTCTTGCCCAGGTTGGAGTGCAGTGGCACAATCTCGGCTCACTGCAACCTCCGCCTCCCGGGTTTAAGCGATTCCCCTGCTTCAGCCTCCCAAATAGCTGGGATTACAGGTGCCCGCCACCACGCCCGGCTAATTTTTGTATTTTTAGTAGAGACAGGGTTTCACCATGTTGGCCAGGATGGTCTCAAACTTCTGACCTCTAGTGATCCACCTGCCTCGGCCTCCCAAAGTGCTGGGATTACAGGCGTTAGCCACCCCACGTGGCCATTAAATGCATTTTTGATTTATGGTATTTTCCACTTGCGATGAGTTTCTTGGGATGTAACCCCGCTGTAAGTCGAAGAGCATCTGTAGTCTAACTTAGCTGGGAAGGAGGAAGAAGAAAGTAAGGATAGAGTGTGAGCCACAGAATGCCCGAAGAACAAACTCAGTGATCAGTGAAGAGGGAAGACAATGGTTAGCAAAGATAAGATCACTTGCAGATTAAACTCTTCCTTTCTTCTTCTAGGGAAGTGATTAATGCCATTGTTTTCTTGATAATCTACCTATTTAAAAAATGAAGTCTGTCAGGCCATTTACCACCTTCCTAAGAAACTGTTTCCCTGAGAAGAACTCACAGGTGGCCGAGAGTGGTGGCTCACACCTGTAATCCCAGCACTTTGGGAAGCTGAGGTGGGCAGACCACCAGGTCAGGAGTTCGAGACCAGCCTGGCCAACATGGTGAAACCCCATCTCTACTAAAGAGGCAAAAATTAGCCAGGCGTGGTGGCGGGCGCCTGTAGTCCCAGCTACTCAGGAGGCTGAGGTAGTAGAATCGCCTGAACCCGGGAAGCAGAGGTTGTAGTCCCAGGTACTCGGGAGGCTGAGGCAGGAGAATTACTTGAACCCAGGAAACGGAGGTTGCAGTGAGCCGAGATTGCGCCACTGTACTCCAGCCTGGGTGACAGAGTGAGACTCCATCTCAAAAAAAAAAAAAAAGGAACTCACAGGTGTCCCAACTCTCTGATTTCCTTTTCTAGAAGTTGACAAGAGACCGGGCACGGTAGCTCACGCCTATAATCCCAACACTTTTGGAGGCTGAGGTGGGTGGATCACGAGGTCAAGAGATCAACACCATCCTGGCCAACATGGTGAAACCCCGTCTCTACTAAATATACAAAAAATTAGCCGGGCACAGTGGTGGGCGCCTGTAGTCCCAGCTACTCGGGAGGCTGAGGCAGGAGAATGGCGTGAACCCGGGAGGAGAACTTGCAGTGAGCTGAGATCACGCCACTGCACTCCAGCCTGGGCAACAGAGCAAGACTGTCTCAAAAAAAAAAAAGAAGAAGTTGACAAAAACCGATATTTCTGGCAGATATAAAAAAACAGAGATTGCTTAAGCGGAGCTAATAGTAAAAATCCCCAAATCTTCCTCCCCTTCAAGTCTGTCCATTCGCCTAGCATCTCAGAAGCTCTGTGTGCTCGATTGGTTTGGGGAATATCAATTCCCTCTGCACACAGTAAGATCCCAGCCACATCCCTGGGGCTCAAGGATGAGTTCCCAAGACCACCTTGATTCGGATCTGCCCTTCTCTGCTCCCAAATTTGCATCTCTCAAGGTCTCGGCACCTGGAACCTCAGCATTGCATTTTTACATATAGAGGAACTAACGGGATATATCAGCCTCAAACAGTGACAAAGAGTAAGGCCAGTATGGACTCTACAGGAAATAGAAATACAATGAGCCACCCACATTTAGGGTTCAGGGGAAGATGCCTGCCATGGAATATCCAATAGGGCTAGTCCGCAGGCTGGCTCCAGGGGAAAAACAAATTGGAAGCAGGGAGGGTCTGTCTTTCGGGCCCTCAATCACCCACCAGGTATCTTCCTTTCTCTATTCCTTCCCCTTTGGACACCTTGGCACTCCTTCCTCCCACCGCCCACAAAGCCTGCTCCCAGGAAAGGCTGTTTTTGCATTCATTCCTATTTTAATGTGAGTTTGAAACAAACTCCCATGGAGTTATATTCAAAATACTCCTTTGTAGCAAGTGAAACAGAAATCACTGGTCAGTTTTGAAATGTGTAAAATTCAAGGCACACATGACCAATGGAATAAACTCACTGAATGTCCCTATTACAGGCAGAGCCATCCAACCCAGAGGATCAATAATAACTCAGGAGGAAAGTGGGAGGTGGATGAACTTGCATCTTGGGCTTATAAATGGAAATCATCCACAGCTGAATCACACAAGAAACTAAAAGGCATGCCATCTTGTTGTGGACCAGATTAAGGGTAAAAGACGGAAGTGGGGAGAGGAAAAAGGGAGGGCAGGAAGCCCTAATTTCATAACAGCTAGTGAGGCTTCTTGGACATCTTTAAAGCCATATGTGAACCCCCTTTCTGTAACACTGTTCTCCTCATGGGCACCTTCACCTGAGCAGGCCATGCAGAGAGTCTTATCCTCTGAGAGGCCTCCAGAGGACCTGCTGGATGGACCATGTTTTTGTCTGTTTTTGTTTTTGAGATGGAGTCTCGCTCTGTCACCCAGGCTGAAGTGCAGTGGCGCGATCTCGGCTCATTGCAACCTCCGCCTCCCAGGTTCAAGCGATTCTCCTGCCTCAGCCTCCTGAGTAGCTGGGGTTACAGGCATGCACCACCACACCCGGTTAATTTTTGCATTTTTAGTAGAAACGGGGTTTCATCATGTTGGCCAGGCTAGCCTCAAACTTCTGACCTCAGGTGATCCGCCCACCTCAGCTTCCCAAAGAGCTGGGATTACAGGCGTGAGCCACTGTGCCCGGACCCATGTTTTGTTTTGCTTGCTTATTTATTTATCCATTTTTTGAGACAGAGTCTCACTCTGTTGCCCAGTCTGAGGGTAGTGGTGCTATTGCAGCTCACTGTGCCCTTGACCTCCTGGGCTCAAGTGATCCTCCTGCCTCAACTTCTCCAGCAGCTGAGACTACAGTGCATGCCACCACGCCTGACTATTTTTTGATTTTTTTTTGTAGAGACAAGGTATCTGTGTTACCCAAGCTTTGCTTTTTTAAACCACATGACCCTGCCACCCTGGTCACAGCTGATTGGACAACTTGGGGCTACATAAAGGGCAGCTGCCTGCAAAGACGTCAGCCGCAGCCTGAGAGGTGGTGTGGAATGAGAACGGGGATCCTCATTGTTTAATACAATGGCTGCATGACCCAAGGCAGGACTCTCTGGGGACATCTGAATGGGACACAGAGAGCACTTGCTGTCAAGAGAGCAGCATGGGCCAGGCACAGTGGCTCACGCCTGTAATCCCAGCATTTTGGGAGGCCAAGGCAGGTGGATCACCTGAGGTCAGAAGACTAGCCTGGCCAACATGGTGAAACCCCGTCTCTACTAAAAATGCAAAAATTAGCCAAGCGTGGTGTCATGCACCTGTAATCCCTGGTGCTGCGGAGGCTGAGACAGGAGAATTGCTTGAACCCAGGAGGAGGAGGTTGCAGTGAGCCAAGATGACATCACTGCACTCCAGCCTGGGTGACAGAGCGAGACTCCATCTTAAAAAAAAAAAAAAAAAAGAGCAGCATGGAATCTGGCAGATACCAGGGGAAGACATAGGAAGTAGAACCCACAGGGTGGAGGAGCCCATAAACCAGGGGAAGTGCTGAAGCACAGGCAAGAATTTCAAATAAAGTAGAAGCAGGCAAAGCAAAACCAGCAGAGGTGGAGACTCTGCGACATGAGGACGGCCAACGTCTCGGTGCTGCTAGGGCGGCAGAGCCTGACCACTGCACCAGCAATGAGGATGCGTGGTCCACCTCCCCTGCCTGTGGTCGCAGCCACAGGCCACAAGTAAAAGTGATGTTTCAAACTGAGTTAAATAAAATACATTCTTTTTTTTTTTTTTTTTTTTTTTTTTGAGACAGAGTCTTGCTCTGTCACCCAGGCTGGAGTACAGTGGCATGATCTCAACTCACCACAACCTCTGCCTCCTGGTTCTCCTAAATCGCTGAAGCGATTCTCCTGCTTCAGTCTCCCGAGTAGCTGGGGTTACAGGCACAAGCTACCACGCCTGGCTAGTTTTTTGTATTTTTAGTAGAGTTGGGGTTTCACCATGTTGGCCAGGCTGGTCTCAAACTCCTGACCTCAAGTGATCCGCCCACCTCGGCTCCCCAAAGTGCTGGGATTACAGGCGAGAGCCACCACACCTGGCATAAAATACATTCTTTAAATTCATATTATCTGCTTCTTTTTACTTCTTTTAATGTGGCTCCTGGAAAATCTAAAATTTGATTTTAGATCTATGGCTCCCATTATAGCATTCCTATTGGGCAGTGCTGTTCTCCCTTCCCATGAGACCACTTCAGCTGTGAGATGTTTTTCTGGACTAATTTTTTTTTAAATTTTTATTTCTGAGATGGAGTCTCACTCTGTCGCCCAGACGCGAGTGCAGTGGCAGGATCTTGGCTCACTGCAACCTCCGCCTCCCAGGCTGAAGTGATTCTCCTGCTTCAGCCTCCCGAGTAGCTGGGATTACAGGCACGTGCCACCACACCCGGCTAATTTTTGTATTTTTAGTAGAGATAGGTTTCACCATGTTGGCCAGGCTGGTCTTGAACTCCTGACTTCAGGCGATCCACCCAGCTCAGCCTCCCAAAGTGCTGGGATTACAGGCGTGAGCCACCACACCTGGCCTGGACTAGTTACTTTACAGAATCCTAATCATAATCCCTCAATCATGACAATGAATTGGAACAATCTCAAAATGTCCCTCGCACACCTGCCAAAAAAAAAAAAAAAAAAAAGCAAAAACCACAACATATACACATCAACCAGAAGGACCCTTACAACGGAAAATGGCTCAGATCTCCACATAGCCGGAATAATAATTAAACAAGACAACCCTTAGGTTTCTAATTCCCTAACCTCCTACATTCAGCCCTGCCTCAGGTCAGGAAAGAGTTGGCAGGGCTTGCCCGATGTGGTGGCTCACGAGGCTGAGGCAGGAGGATCGCTTGGGCCCAGGAGTTCAAGACCAGCACTGGCAACACAGCAGGACCTCGTCTCTACAAAAGTTAAAGTTAGCCAGGCATGGGGGCACATGCCTGTAGTCCCAGCCTCTTGGAAGGCTTGAGCCTGGGAGGTCAAGACCAGCACGGGCTGGGTGCTGTGTGGCTCACACCTGTAATCCCAGCACTTTGGGAGGTTGAGGCCGTGAGCCGTGATTGTGCCACTGCACTCCAGCCTGGATGACAGAGTGAGATCCAAAAAAAGAAAAAAAAGAGTTGGCAGAGCTGGTCAGGGTCCTCCGGCAGTGTTCCTCCACACACATAACACAGAAATGACTTCAGGGGCTAACTTTTGTTAAGTTTCTGAAAAACATGAATTGGTGCATTTGTTTTCTATTGCTTTGCCAATCTGTTACTGCTAACACGGGGTGTAAAAATCCAGCTCCAATAGATACATCGAGTCGAGAAGTCAGGGGGTTTCCCTTAAGTTTCTGTTGAGTCCCCTGATTAGGATCACAGACTCTGAGAGTGGGAAGGGACTCGGAGGCCATCCGGTCCAATCCTTGAGGTTTCCTCAGCAGCACTTCCCCAGCCCTGCTTCCCTTGGCTTTGCTCACCATTGAGGAAGCTGCCCGTTTTATTCCCAGCTCCATGTGTTCTCATCTCCCACCCGCTGGCCCTAGATTCTACTTCCAAAACGACAGAGTTGGTCTAATTTCTCTTTCCTGAGCAAATCTTTTAATTAGGTAAAGACACCGATCCCTCTTCAAGTCTTTTCCAAATCAATTATCCTTTTTCTTTGTCTTGGTCTTCTCTAAAAAAAAAAAAAAAAAAAAGTGGGGATTGGCCTTTTTACCTCCCTGGCTGCTCTCTTTGGAACTGCTGTGTCAATGTCTCCCCGTATAGTAGGGTGGCCAGACCTGAAGAGTCTACATCCTACTCCAAGCACATGGGAGAGAAGTGAGGCTTTCACTTCCCTTACTCTGGACACTACAATTCTATTTAAACAGCTCTGTGCTTTCCCCACCAGACTTTCCTGAGCCCTAATTTCTTTTGATCACTATACTTCCCCTTCTGGCTCTGAGAAAATCACAGACTTAAAGAGAATTCTAAGCCTATGAAGCTTTGTATGCCAATATCTAAAACAAGCACCTGCAATGGTTTACACCCCTGGCTGTACATGAGAATCACTTGGAAGCTGTACAAATATCAATAGTTAGGTCTTGCCCCAAGGAGGGAAACAGGCCCTGGCTTAGTTATTTTTAGAAGCCCCAGATGATCGTAATGTGCATCCAGGGTTGAACCAGCAATCCAAAGAAACCAGGACTGTGATCTTCATACAGGTTCCAGTTACTTTTTCCTTTGAACTGCAAATATGAATTCTTATTTTGAATTGAACTAGCAGGACTAAATTGGTTCACTATAAACAACTTGAGATTATTCAAAAATCATTTGGAACTTGGACCAAAGGAGAGATGGAATTGATTTAGCAACAATTGAGACCTTATTGAAAGTCAACCTAAAAAGAACATCAGGCTTAGGAGACCTGGTTTATAATTGGTGCATTTGCTTACTAGCTGTGGGATTTGAGCACATCATGTAATCACATTGAAGTTTCTTCATCTATAAAATGGAGGTACTAGTCTAGAAATCTTTTTTTTTTTTTTTTTGAGACAGAGTCTCCGCTGGAGTGCGATGACGTGATCTTGGCTCACTGCAACCTCCGCCTCCTGGGTTCAAGCGATTCTACTGCCTCAGCCTTCTGAGAAGCTGGGATTACAGGCATGCGCCACCACGCCTGGCTAATTTTTGGTATTTTTAGTAGAGACGGGGTTTCACCATGTTGGCCAGGCTGGTCTCGAACTCCTGACCTTGTGATCCGCCCACTTCAGCCTCCCAAAGTGCTGGGATTACAGGTGTGAGCCACTGCGCTCAGCCTAGAAATCTTTAAGGTGCAATAAGGTTTTTTTGTTTGTTTGTTTGTTTTAACTTCTTGAAAAAAAATAGAGACAGTGTCTCACTATGTTGCCCAGGCTGGTCTCAAACTCCTGGCTTCAAGAGATCCTCCTGCCTCAGCCTTCCAAAGCGCTGGGATTACAGGCGTGAGCCACCATGCCTGGCCATGCTTTAGATTTTTGATTCAAGACCAGAAAAGAGCTTGCAAATAAAAAATTTGAAAGTTGTATCTTGCTCCCATTTCAAAAGGATGGGAGCTTCAACAGAGACAAAAATATTATGAAATCTTCAAATTGTCATTCAAATTTTATTTATAATACATATTCCTGATTTTAAATGCGTTGCGCTTAAAGGAGAATAAGGTTTACATTTTATTTATTTATTTATTTAGAGATGGAGTCTCGATCTGTCACCCAGGCTGGAGTGCAGTGGCACAATCTTGGCTCATTGCAACCTCCGCCCCTTGGGTTCAAGCGATTCTCCTGCCTCAGCCTCTCCAGTAGCTGGGATTGCAGGCATGCACCACCACGCCTGGCTAATTTTTTTAGTATTTTTAGTAGATACAGGTTTTCACCATGTTGGTCAGGCTGCTCTCAAACTCCTGACCTCAAGTGATCCACCTGCCTCCGCCTCCCAAAGTGCTGTGATTACAGGCTTGAGCCACTGTGCTCGGTCACGTTTTTATTTATATGGCCAGTGTTCCTTCGGTCTTTTGTCCTGTGAACAGAGCGGTTCACAAGAGTGGGTGATATAACACATCTCCATTTTACCATTTTACAGATGAAATTTTTTTTTTAATTTGACATTTAAAACCGTAAAGAAGTTTGTCCCATTTTTTCCACTCTTTTCAAAGCAACTTATTTAGTATTGACCATGCAGTGTTTATTCGTAAAAATAAAAGTTAAGAGACGTACATACCGGGAATCCTGTTGAGTGTCACCCAGAAATGTTCGTCGGGGCTGTAGGTGTCCTTGGACCAGGAGAGTAAGTCAAGTGCGAGCTGGTCTTGGAGGACGAAGTTAGCAAAGTCCCTTGTGAGAGCCACGTAGGCCGTGCCAAAGTAAATCACCATGTCATGAGGAGGAGGAGTTTTTAATTTTGTTGTTTTAATCACGTAGGAATTTTTGTGGTTTAACAGTTCTTGGTGGACGTATTTAGTCCGTCCAACAGCGTGGTCAGGAGGCAGCACTCCGGGGGTGATATTTTTCCCTTTAAATCCCTTCAGATACTGAACTATTTCCCTGTTGGTTTTCAGGGGAAAGTCTTGCCCGCAGGTGTTGATGACATACTTCCAGGGAACTTCAGAGGCCACAAGGTCTTCCAGGCAGTTCAGGTCAGCCTGGAGCCTGGAGATCCCCCCATAGACAACCGACTCCTTCTTGGAAGCCAGAAAAGCATTTGGGAAGCAGCTGAGTAACTGTTTCACTGCACCTTTAAAGGCATCCGTCGCCTTCTGATCCAGGTGCACACAGTAGACATTTTGGGGCATATAAATCGCCCTGAAGAGCCTCTCAAAAGTGCCGAAGTCTTTGTGGATGGTCACTGTGTAAGCTAAAGGGAACCCAGCCTCTTCTTCAGAGAGTGTTTCTGTTACATAGTGGCTTCGAACCATGTACTCATAGCAGGTAGCTTCATCAAGGGTAGTTTTCAATGCATTTTCTGTTGGGTAAAAAACTTTCCCCTCAAAAATCTGATGACAGGCTTCTGCTAACAGTGAAGCATTGGACAGAGCTGCCCTCAGAAAACGTTTATTCTCCCATAACTCAGTATTGTAAACAAATACAAAAATCAGGGCAGAGATAAGAGACGCGCTAAAAAGACAGTGCTTCCAAGAGCCCATCATTCACAACCAGGAAATGAGTAAAATATCTCTCTCTTGAGATAGGATCAGAGTGTAGATATATTTAACTTACATTTTCTCCAGGTTCCGAAATCATCCTCGTGATGGCTGAAGCTCTCGTCTGGCTGTTCCCTGTCCCTTCAGTTCACGGTTCTGGTCCTTTTTCTTTCTTCTTCCCCTCTTCACTTACCACTAGGTTGCATTTTCACTTTTCTGTGACACATTTCTGAAGTGGCTCCTTTGCATTTGGCTTGCCTGTTCTCCTGCTAACCTGCAACCTGTGTCTACACAAAAACAGATGTCCTCAGAGAGGTTCTGATTCCAGGGGGTCCACCTGTTCCCACCATGAAATTACAAGTGGGTGAGGTGACCATTCTGCAAGTCATCGGCTCTAAGACCTTAACCTCAGCCTCTTGTCCCGGCCAGAGTCTAGTAACTATGTCCCCTCCCCTGCTTCCTGTTAATCATTGTGTTCAACAGCCTGAGTTTATTTGCTTAAACTGCACTGCCAAGCTACGAGCTTCAGTTTAAAGCATGTGAATACTGCCTGGAGAGATATTCTATCAATAAATATGTAGTGCTTTAAAAAAATTGCTTAACCCTGTCTTTTTCCACAGCCACACCTCGCTCTCCCCATTGGCTGGGTATGCTATACGACATGGCATATGACTGGCTACTGGGCTAAATTCTTTCCAGGGCTTAATTTTGTCTGCTGCTGGGTAAAGTCCTTTAAAATGCCCATTAATTAGCAAGCTTACCTCACCACCTAACTTACTGCACAAAGTGACTGTGGCACTCGGATGAATAAAGGCTAACTTCTTTTTTTAAAACAACAAAACGACCAATAGCCCATCATCACCCAAAATTGCATACAGGCTAACATAGTGAATTTCAAGTTTATTTTGCCCTGGTCCGCATAGGATGCAGACAGAGAACCCTGATGCTTAGAGGAAGGAGAGAAGAGCATCTCAGTCTTGAATTTTAGGAGAGAGGCTCTTATGTCCAGATTTACAAATGCTTTAAAGGAGGCTTTTTTTTTAATCTGTAAAAAATGAGAATAATTTTACCACCAGAGGTCAATTGTGAGAATAAAATGAGATAACATATACAGAGTCCATCGCCGTGTCCAGGAACAGATTGGGGTGGTAAAGCAGCAGCAAAATGGTACTAAACAAGAAGTCCGTTCACACACACGCATGCATACACACGTATCTCTTACCCCACACTCATACTTCTAATAAATGACACAATTACCTCTCCTTTGAAATCTTCTTACTCTTCCCTTACTCCCTCCTCTGTGAGTCCATGCCAATCAGATTATACATCTAAAACGTCAGCGACGAGTTTTGTATGATGTGGTGGTTAGCTGCACCCGGTGTGAAAGCATGTTCCATTGGCGCCGAGCTCATGTATTCCTCATGTTTCTGGCTCCTAGCATTGTCTGTATGTAGTAGACAAGCAACTTTTTATTTTATTTTATTTATTTATTGAAACGGAGTTTCGCTCTCGTTGCCCAGGCTGGAGTGCAATGGCACGATCTCGGCTCACTGAAATCTCTGCCTCCCAGGTTCAAGCGATTCTCCTGCCTCAGCCTCCCAAGTAGCTGGAATTACAGACACCTGCCACCATGCCTGGCTAATTTTTGTATTTTTAGTAGAGACGGGGTTTCACCATTTTTGAGCAGGCTGGTTTCAAACGCCTGACCTCAGGTGATCCACCCGCCTCGGCCTCCCAAAGTGCTGGGATTACAGGCGCGAGCCACCGCACAATCAACTATTTATTGATTGAATGCTCAAGTTTTCATTTCCCTGCTTCCCTGATCACATTAGTGAGAAATTCCAGGTAATACTGATTTGTAGGAGATATATATTTGTATCTGTGAATGTGGTACAGTCAATAAACCTAATTTTTCCAATGTATCTTCTAACTTTTATTAAATGTAATTAATTAATTAATTTACTCTTTTGTAGAGATGGGGGTCTTACTGTGTTGCCCAGGCTGGTCTTGAACTCCTCAAGCTATCCTCCTACCTCAGGGTCCCAAAGCTTTAGGATGACAGCTGTGAGCCACTGCACCTGGCTCATTTTCTTAATCACAAAGACGACATAATATCGTAGATAGTTTCTAAACACAATGTTTCCACGTCCTGTACTTTCATTTACCTCTTGCCTATAGGAAATACACATTCTTATTTTATCAAGAACACAGGGGAGGCTGGGTGCAGTGGCTCACGCCTGTAATCTCAGCACTTTTGGGAGGCCAAGGCGGGAGGAGCTCGAGGCCAGGAGTTTGAGACCTGCCTAGGCAACACAGCCAGGCCCCATCTCTAATAAAAAAAAAAGAACGCAGGAAGATGCAAGCTTAAATCCTGCATTCTGCACTTACTATTATACAATAACATTTTCCATAGTGCTTCTTGGTGTGCCTTGGGTATTATCTTCACAATCACTACTTTAGAACCTGGAGTTATTCCTGTTGATTTTTCCGCTAACCCAGCTAAAAGCGAACACATTGAGACGGCAGCCAACCCCATTTCACGGTGTCAGGAACACAGGAAATGATGACAAGAAAGGACACAGGGAAAATTCTCTAGAACACAGTGAGTCAGTTCTCAGTTGCTTCTGGAATCAGATTCTACAGCGTGACTCAGGTACACCCAGTTGTGCCTATAGGGCCCCCAAAATAGAATTTAATCAACCCAAATATCTATTTTCTTAACTATCTTTCATGCGTCTATCCAGAATTCTTTTGAACAAATCACTTCTTCAATACAGAACGCATACAAAATCAATCTTTTCTGAAATGACTAAAATTTCTCTAATTTTTAGTTGACTTTTAACGTCTCTTTAGACCCTGTCCATATCAAATGAAATACTATAGGAATGATTAAATGAAAATGTCAATGCTGAATTATGCTTATCTAAACTAGTCAAGTAATTTTTACCATATTTTCTCCTAATTTATCCAGACAATTACATCAGGTGTTTGTTTGACTCTTACCTCATTCTTGGCCTAGTTCTATCCCTCCAGACATTGCAGACATAGAAGCATCTTGAATTATTTGCCTGCTCTTCGAATTTACAACTCACTGGATTTAGTTGCAGGGTAACGAACACTTGTATTTTGTGCTCTGCTGCAAGTACAAGCAAAGTTCATACGTCTTTACTTGTACCTTACCTGTAATGCTAAGACGGTCCCTTGATTTTGAGCTCTGGAATATTTATGATTCTGTAAAATAGTATCTTTGACAATGCTAGACATTTAAAAAAAGAATTAATATGAACCTATTTCCTTTTTCATCAACCCAGTGCCAGCTGGTGCATTTTATTTTGGTAGGCACATGGGACACGCTGGTCTTCCAGACCCTCCAGCTTTCCCAATGCCCTTGTACAATCTATCAGTAATCACTCTCCTCAATTCTGGGCTCTAGGCTCTTGCGTTTGTGTGATATAATGGGAGGAGATGGTAATCAGGGAGTGACCAAAAGGACGCGAGATTGTTCATCCCAGGTTGAATTTCAGATCAAAATTAATACCCCCCAATTCTAAGTCGGAGGCACTGATCAGGTGGGATAAATAAAGAGTTCTGAACAAATTGGGAACCAGCAAAGACTTATAGTTTGGTTGCTCAATAACTGGCAGGGTGTATATTATGTTCAATCACTAATTGCTTATTTCTCCATAACACATACTCTTATAAATTCTCACTCTCCAGGATGTAAACTAATTTTCATTGCACTAAGACACTGCACTTAGAGTTTAATCTCAATAACTGACTGTAGAAAGAGAAGCAGAAAAAAAGGGGTTCCTTTCTACAGACAAGAATCCCATCATCCTCACCTTAATTATTCATGGACCATATGATGCCCAAAGCACTTTTCACATATTCATTTTACCATGACATCACCTGTGTGCCCAAATTAGAAACCGGGGGGGTGGGCCGATGGAAACTTTCTCAGTGTCTGTGAAAGCCTGATGCAGTCTCAGAGGAAGAACAGCTTGGATTAAACTGGTTTTTAATCTGAAGGGCAACACATTTTGTCCTTTTTCTTTTCTTTCTTTCCTTTTCTTTTTTTTGGGGGGTGGGGGACAGAGTTTTGCTTTTGTGACTCAGGCTGGAGTGCAACGGCACAATCTCAGCTCATTGCAACCTCGGCCTCCCAGGTTCAAGTGATTCTCCTGCCTCAGCCTCCCAAGTAGCTGGGCTTACAGGTATGCACCACCATGCCTGGCTAATTTTTGTATCATTTTGTCCTTTTTCAAAAAGACAACCTTTTCCTGTCCTCCTCTCTGCCTGCTCTTTCTTATTTATGTGTTTTCTCTTGACAAGTTCGGTACCCTGCTTTATCCTCATCACTATTTCTTTTTAAGCATAGGTTATAACCACAGGCTTCCAGCAACAGGGCTTAAATAGTATGGTTAAAAAGAGCCCTGGATTGAGTTAGAGACCAGCCTGACCAACATGGAGAAACCCTGTCTCTACTGAAAATACAAAATTAGCCGGGCGTGGTGGCGCATGCCTGTTAATTCCAGCTACTCAGGAGGCTGAGGCAGGAGAATCGCTTGAACCCCGGGAGGCGAAGGTTGCGGTGAGCCGAGATCGTGCCATCGCACTCCAGCCCAGGCAACAAGAGCGAAACTCCGTCTAAAAAAAAAAAAAAAAAGCCCTGGATTATGTGTCAGAAAGTTTCCGTGGACCAAGGCCACTCTTAACAGGCTTGGAGCCGTTGAATAAGTCATTTGATTTATAATCACAGCTTCCTCTTGGAGTGAATTTGAGAAAACAACACCCGTTTGTTGAAAAACAAACCAAGATCCAGCATGGATCTCGCAGGCTGTAAGGGGCTCTGCTGTTACTTAGAGCCTCCAACTCCCAACTGTGGCTTCCTTCCTAGCCAGATCACCACACCTCTTAGTCTTGGTTTTTTTTTTTTTTTTTTTTTGAGACAGAGTCTCGCTCTGTCACCCAGGCTGGAGTGCAGTGGCGCGATCTCGGCTCACTGCAAGCTCCGCCTCCCGGGTTCAGGCCATTCTCCTGCCTCAGCCTCCCGAGTAGCTGGGACTACAGGCGCCCACCACCAAGCCCGGCTAATTTTTTTGTATTTTTAATAGAGACGGGGTTTCACCGTGTTAGCCAGGATGGTCTCGATCTCCTGACCTCGTGATCCGCCCACCCCGGCCTCCCAAAGTGCTGGGATTACAGGCATGAGCCACAGCGCCCGGCCTTGGTTTTTCAAGTCTAGAGTCAAGACAACAGCAATCTCCAGGCCATGCTGGGAGGATTCTGGAGGTAGGGCACCTAACGTGCTCAGCTCAGGGCTTCTAGAGAAGTCAGAGCTAATTCCAGACCTGGATGGAAAGCTGTGGGGAAGAAGAGGCTACGAGGGGGAAATGAAGTGGGTTGTGATCGTTTAACAAAAAATAGCTGGGAAAAAAAGTAATAGGAAACTATAAGAGAAAGCTGGTCTTTTTTTTTTTTTTTTTCTTTTGAGACGGAGTTTCGCTCTTGTTGCCCCGTCTGCAGTGTAATGACGCCATCCCGGCTCACTGAAGCCTCTGCCTCCCGGGTTTAAGCAATTCTCCTGCCTCAGCCTCCCGAGCAGCTGGGGTTACAGGCATGTGCCACCACACCCGGCTAATTTTTGTATTTTCTTTTTAGTAGAGATGGGGTTTCACCATGCTGGTAGGCTGGTCTCGAACTCCTGATCTCAGGTGATCCGCCTGACTCGGCCTCCCAAAGTGCTGGGATTACAGTCATGAGCCACACCGCGCCTGGCTGAAAGCTGGTCTTTTCAAGCTCAGTCAAATAACTTTGAGGCAATGCAAGACTGAGCAAAGTTAAATAGCAGCTCAGTTACTAGGCGGAGTCGAGGCCTTAAAGGCACTTTCCGCCTGCGTTTGCACATGAAAAGATATCTGACAACTCCAGGCTTTCCAAGCCAGGGTCTCCGGGAGAAGCCAGAGCTGGAGAACCTCATTCGTTTTAAGTCTAATTTTACTGTTGCAGAAAGTTACCCTGGAGTTGAGGATTGAGTGTATTCTATAAATGGGATATTATGAGAAGCTAGAACAGCAGCCCAATCTCCGTGCCCGAGGCTTTGTTTGTTGTTTTCACCTTTCTGGATGGAGTTTTGCTCTTACCCTCCCGACCTCTATCGCTCAGAAAGTCCTTGATAGGATTTTGAAGTTACAGGAACCAAAAATTACTGCCATAGGTAGAATACTTCCACAAGGGAGACCTCAAGCTTCTGATCACTAAGAATAATTACATGAAAGAATATAGCCTCCCTTCTTCCGATAATTGCAATATGCTGTTCAATCAGAACAGAGTGCAAAGAAACAGATCCTTTACGCTGTAGGGTCCCCAGGGCCTGGGATTACAGTCTCCCTATTTCTTCTGGAAAACCACAGCCTACAGGTAACTACCCTCTATTTGGCCAATCTACTACCAGGTGCAGAAAGACTATTTACAAGTGACGACTCTCAAAGGCCTACATTTAAAAATAAGGAAAACAGAAAAGTAGCTTTGAGTTTGGCAAAACCTGAATTTACTTAGTAGACCTGTCTTTAATATCAGAAGATGGGTTTTCATAGAATGGCAATATGGATCTACTACTTTTCTACATGGCCCAGAGCTTCATTTTCAATTTTACCTATTATCAAATGAGGTTCATACCTCACAGGAATGTTCATACCTCACAGCAACTAATTAAATAAAATACATTTCAGGCTGTGGACGGTGGCTCACGCCTGTAATCCCAGCACTTCAGGAGGCTGAGGCAGGTGGATCACATGGAGTCAGGAGTTTGAGACCAGCCTGGCCAACATGATGAAACCCCATCTCTACTAAAGATACAAAAATTAGCCGGGCTTGGTTGTGCATGCCTGTAGTCCCAGCTACTCAGGAGGCTGAGGCAGGACCCAGGAGGTGGGGGTTGCAGTAAGCTGAGATCGCACCACCGTACTCTCGCCTGGGTGACAGAGTGAGACTATGTCTGGAAAAAAAAAAAAAAATTTAAATGCCAGACAGTACCAAGTACCTTATCAAATTCTGGAAACATTTTCCCTTGCCTGAAGGAACTGAGAAACATAAACCATTAAGTCTGAAGTGAACGTTGTTCTTTCCTACAAAGTTAAAAGTTGTAACTGAGATACAGAAGGATACTAATGATTTAGAGACAGATGGAAAACCCTCGTGCCCAGTAGGCCCATCATGTAATGAAACAACATACAAACATGCTATTCTTTGAAAAAAAAAAAACCTTTGAAAACAGAAATCTCATGACCAAATGACTCATTCAACATTTTTTGGTGTACTTACTTTATGCCCGGCACTGTGCTAGGTTCTGGAAATATAAAACATCCACGCAGCCCATTTGAGTACCAGCCTATTGGACCTTAAACTGCTGTCAGCGATTTAACAGAGGTAACACGAGAAGACCAGCTCCCCGCAGTTTCCTCCCTCCACCAGTTTCCCAGCACGCTGACCTCCACCTACCTCTCTCAGTTCCCAGGAGGGTAAGATTGCCCAGAGGCGTCCAGCAGTGAACACAGTAAGCCTGTTTAAGGTAAACGCAGTTTAACCCTAGCGTTTTAAGTGGAATAACAGAGGCTGGAATGTGAAAGTGGGAAGGTCTGTTTGCTTTCAGTCCCACCCCCAAGGCCTGCCCTAAGAGTCTGAGACAGGAGAACACACGTCTACAGAGAGCCTGCCTAGAGTCTGGATTTTTTAAGCTGCTGGATACCAGGTGCTACCTGACACCAGCTCATCCCCTGCCTCTAGAGTCCTGGAGGGCTTTGAGTTGATCACTTTCCACTCCAGGAATGTTATAAGAAACCGCTCAGAAAGGTAACTGCCCTGGGTGTAACTGGGTTTTTCATGAGGACACTCCAAGATAGACCTCAGGATAATTATTTGGGTGTTTTCCTAAGACTACCCTCCATTTTGCCCCCTTAGAGGCTGCTTTTTCAAGAGGGGAAGTTTTGGATTCCCTCACAGACCCCTCGTGTTTAAGGTTCCACTCTTATGTTTAGTTATTGGTAGGAAATCTTATAGTCTCTGCCCCAGGGTAACCTCTAACAGATTTAGATATGTGTTCTGCTCAAATGCTACCCACACTGGGGAAGGGGAATCCTAAGGTGGCAGCAGAATTTAGTAGAAAATGCCCTGGGCATTTTCAGAAGGCAAGTTCTCTCCTCTCTAATGCAAGCTGTATATCTTGAGCAAGTCACTTCCTCTCTCTGAACCTCTGGCTTTTCCTAGGCCAGGCAAACGGGCTCTTTACATACCCTTTCAGGAATGAACTGATTCCTGTCCCAGGAAACAAGCTAGTCATACCGTGCATTTAGCCATATCCCTCTCTTCTGCCAAACACTTTGCAGTCAGAAGCAGCTTATAAAATTCAGTGGGGATAAAGCAGGGTATGGTGGTGTGCACCTGCAGTTTCAGCTACTAGGGAGGCTGAGGCGGGAGGGTTGTTTGAGCCCAGGAATTCTGAGACCAGCCTGGGCAACATAGTGAGACATCAACTTAAAAAAAAAAAAAAAAAAAGAAAAAATCCAACTGAGTTAAAAAAAATTTTTTTCCAGTCATAAAGCCAGGATAAACTGAAGAAATAGCAAATCAACTTTTTTTTTTTTTTTTTTTTTTTGTGACAGAGCCTTGCTCTGTCACCCAGTGCAGTGTCACAATCTCAGCTCACTGCACCCTCTGCCTCCCAGGTTCAAGCAATTCTCCTGCCTCAGCCTCCTGAGTAGCTGGGACTACAGGCATCCACCACTATGCCCGGGTAATTTTTGTATTTTTAGTACAGAAAGGGTTTCACCATGTTGACCAGGATGATCTTGAACTCCTGGACTCAAGTGATCCACCCCTCTTGGCCTCCCAAAGTGCTAGGATTACAGGCGTGAGCCACCACACCCGGCCCAAATCAATGATTATTTTTCTTTTCTTTTTCGTTTTTTTTTTTTTTGAGACCGAGTTTTGCTCTTGTTGCCCAGGCTGGAGGGCAATGGCACGATCTTGGCTAACCGCAGTCTCTGCCTCCTGGGTTCAAGCAATTCTCCTGTCTCAGCCTCCGAGTAGCTGGGATTACAGGCATGCGCCACCATGCCCTGCTAATTTTTTGTATTTTTATTAAAGACGGGGTTTCTCCATGTTGGTCAGGATGGTCTCGAACTCCCGACCTCAGGTGATCCACCCACCTTGGCCTCCCAAAGTGCTGGGATTACAGGTGTGAGCCACTGCACCTGTCGTCTGTTTTCTTTTTCTTTTCTTTTTTTTTTGAGATGGAGCCTTGCTCTGTCACCCAGGCTGGAATGCAGTGGTGCAATCTCGGCTCACTGCTACCTCCGCCTCCTGGGTTGAAGCAATTCTGTCTCAGCCTCCCAAGTAGCTGGATTACAGACGCCTGCCACCACGCCCGACTAATCTTTTGTATTTTTAGTAGAGACGGGGTTTCTCCATGTTGGTCAGGCTGATCTCGAACTCCTGACCTCAAGTAATCTGCCCACCTTGGCCTCCTAAAGTGCTGGGATTACAGATGTGAGCCACCCCGCCTGGCCAAATCAACAATTCTTAAAATGACCTATTTTGAAAAGACTAAAAGAAGCCCAACTGTTTTAACAGCATTTATTTTAGAGTTTTAGGATTATGGTAAATTTTACTTTCTTCTATGTATTTTTTTCCTATTTTCCACATTTTATAAAATGGTCATGAATTATTTTTTTCTAATTGGAAAGGAACAATTTTAATGGTCGTGACTGGTTATCTTCTCCCTCATCTTACGCTGCATTGTGTGTGTTGGGCCCAGATCTACAATTCAACTTCCTCATGAGCGCATGAGTCAGCATTTCTTCATGGCCTGTCATTCTGTACTGTTTGCAAAAGTATGAAAAATAGAGACCAGCCCATGGGAATTTTGCTGGAGAGGTAAATAAAATGCTCCATACAATTCTATACCTTTTACCAACCAAAGAATAAAATCATCAAATATCCAAGTATACATCAGTATTTTACAAACCCAGACTTTAGTGATGAAGGTAGGGAAAAAAGGATGACTGTCCTGGAGATTCAAGACGGGGTCTACTTATTGGGAAAGAGCCAGTTAAGTCAAATCATCGCAGCAACGGGTGATTTTTTCCTTGGCAAATTACCTAATTATTTCACTATTTCATTATGCCTATTCAAATGATCTCAGTCCTTGCCAGCTCCTTACAGCCTCCATTCTTTGCTGGAAATACCCTTATCCTTTCACCTCCTGGCCACCCAACCTGTTCTTCTCCATCACAAACAATAGAGCATTGAAATTCTGTGCCTGCCACCCAGAAAACTGGCAACCCACAAAGAACAAGAAAAATGGCTAACATACCTTTAAAATATATTCATCTTTAACAAATTATAAATAACAAGAGTAGCGCAGTTCTTTTTCTGTTTAATTCAAGTAATTTTTTAAAAGAAATACATTAGGCCAGGTGCGGTGGCTCACGCCTCTAATCCCAGCGCTTTGGGAGGCCGAGGCGGGCAGATCACTTGAGGCCAGGAGTTCGAGACTAGCCTGGCCAACATGGTGAAACCCCCTCTCTACTAAAAATACAAAAAAAATTAGCCCGGTGTGATGGCACATGCCTGTAGTCCCAGCTACTTGGGAGGCTGAGGCAGAAGGATCTCTTGAACCTGAGAGGCAGAGGTTGCAGTGAGCTGAGATAGCACCACTGCACTCCAGCCAGGGGGACAGAGAGACTGTCTCAAAAATAAAATAAATACATTAGAATACCACTGTTAGCAGACGTGTGATCACACACTGGTGGACTGATGGAAAATTAGAATATATTTTGGAAAGCAATTTTGCAATATGTATCAAGAATTTTAAATGTGGCTATCTTTCAATCCAGTGAATTTTAATTCCAAAGACAATAATACTAAAATGTGGCGAAGCTTATGTGAAAAGATGTTACTTACTTTTGATGTTATTCAGTATTGACTAAAATAACATTTTACACAGTAAAAAACTAGGAACGAGGCTGTAATCCCCTCACTTCAGGAGGCGGAGCCAGCCGGGCCAGCGGCTCATGCCTGTAATCCCAGCACTTTGGAAGGCTGAGGCGGGCGGATCACAAGGTCAGGAAATCGAGACCATCCTGGCTAACACAGTGAAACCCCGTCTCTACTAAAAATACAAAAAAATTAGCCAGGGGTGGTGGCGGGCGCCTGTAGTCCCAGCTACTCGGAAGGCTGAGGCAGGAGAATGGCGTGAACCCAGGAGGCGGAGCTTGCAGTGAGCAGAGATCACGTCACTGCAGTCCAGCCTGGGCGACAGAGTGAGACTCCGCCTCAGAAAAAAAAAAGGAGGCGGAGCCAGTAGGATAGTTTGAGCCCAGGAGTGTGAGACCATCCTGGGCAACATAGCGAGACCCCACTTCTACAAAACATTTAAAAATTAGGTGGGGCGCAGTGGCTCAAGCCTGTAATCCCAGCTACTCAGGAGGCTGAGGCAGGAAAATCGCTTGAACCCGGGAGGCAGAGGTTGCAGTGAGCCGAAATTGTGCCACTGCACTCCAGCCTGGGTGATAGAGCAAGAACCTGTCTCAAAAAAAAAAAAAAAAAAAAAAAAAGGAAAAAACGAACTATTGAGGAATTGGTAAGCAAACTATGGTACATCCATACTATGATAAAATACAATATGTCATATTTTTAATCACATAGGGAAACTATTATGATATAGTGTTAAATGAAAGTAGCAGGATAAAAAAATTACATCATCAGTATAACCTAACTACATGAAGCAATACACAGAGAAAGAGGTAAATAATGCTAAAATGCTAACAGAAATTACTTCTCAGTTTTGTATAATGCGTAGATTTTACTTTCTTGTTTATGCTTTTGTTTTTCCCAGAGTTTCCGCAGTAAGATTGAATTTTATAATAAGAAAAGAATGTTTTAAAATGTTCTGCCCACGGATAACTAGTAGAGGATTTTAAAATTTTATACGAAGGATGACTTCCTGAAGACTCATGAAGGCTGGCCCACAGAGGGTTTCTACCCATCAATCCAAGTGAGGCCAGCATGTGGACATGGCCCAAACACAGTTGACAGACAGTTCACCTGGAAGATGGTTCTGAATTCTTGAAAAAATTTTTTTTTTTTTTTCAGAGATGGAGTCTCGCACTCTCGCCCAGGCTGAAGTGCAGTGGCGAAATCTCGGCTCACTGCAAGCTCCGCCTCCTGGGTTCACGCCATTCTCCTGCCTCAGCCTTCCGAGTAGCTGGGACTACAGGCGCCCGCCACCAACCCCGGCTAATTTTTTTTGTATTTTTAGTAGAGACGGGATTTCACCATGTTAGCCAGGATGGTCTCGATCTCCTGACCTTGTGATCCGCCCGCCTTGGCCTCCCAGAGTGCTGGGATTACAGGCATGAGCCACCGTGCCTGGCCAAATTCTTGAAATTCTTAATGGATTTTTAAAACTTTTTTCATTTGGAGAAATTTGCATTATTTCATATTGTTCTTATAGAAATTTTATTGACATTCTCAGATCTCAAACTTTTCAAATGCGTGTAATATAGATTCACAGAAAATGAGATTATAATGAATAATCCAATCCATATTGAAGATACTGAATTTCTAGACAACATATTATCATTGCTTAAAAAAGAGTTTTGGGGGCTGGGCGCAGTGGCTTAAGCCTGTAATCCCAGCACTTTGGGAGGCTGAGGTGGGCGAATCACCTGAGGACAGGAGTTCGAGACCAGCCTGACCAACATAGAGAAACCCCGTCTCTACTACAAATACAAAATTAGCCGGGCGTGGTAGCGCATGCCTGCAATTCCAGCTACTCGGGAGGCTGAGGCAGGAGAATCGCTTGAACCCGGGAGGCGGAGGTTGTGGTGAGCCGAGATTGTGGCATTACACTCTAGCCTGGGCAACAAGAGCGAAACTCCATCTCAAAAAAAAAAAAAAAAAAAAAGTTTTGGGTGTCATATCAGAGATTCAAAGATCTCAGAAAGACAAACTTCACATATTCTCACGTTTGTGGGAGCTAAAAGTTAAAATAATTGAACTCATGGAGTTAGAGAGTAGAAGGATGATGAGCAGAGGCTGGGAAAGGGAGTAGGGGTATGGAGGGAAAGGGGGAGGGTTAATGGGTACAAAAACAGAAAGAATGAATAAGACCTAGTATTTGCTAGCATAACATAAGTCAAAAATAATTTAATCGTACATTTTAAAAGGAATAAAAGTGTAATTGGATGGTTTGTAACACAAAGGATAAATGCTTGAGGTCATGGAGACCCCGTTTACCCTGAAGTGATTATTTCACATTTCATGACTGATTCAAAACGTCTCATGTAACCCATAAATATATATACCTACTGTGTACCAACAAAAAATTTAACAAAACATAACATACAATGACAGCAGAAATTTAATAAGGATGTTCTATAAGCTAACAGTCTATTTAGTGACACATAGAAGCATAATTTATTTTATTTATTTATTCATTCATTCATTGAGATGGAGTCTTGCTGTGCCACCCAGGCTGGAGTGCAGTGCTGCAATCTTGGCTCCCTGCAGCCTCCACCTCCCAAGTTCAAGTGATTCTCCTGTCTTGGCCTCCTGAGTAGCTGGGATTACAGGCCAGTGCCACCACACCTGGCTGATTTTTGTATTTTTAGTAGAGACAGGGTTTCACCATGTTGGCCAGGCTGGTCTCAAACTCCTGACCTCAAGTGATCTGCCTACCTCGGCCTCCCAAAGTGGTGGGATTACAGGCATGAGCCACCGCACCTGGCCAGAAGTATATTTTATATTAATTTATTGAAACATATGGAAAGCAGTCAACAGGATATTCATTAAGTCTAGAAACACAGATGGGTATACATAACTTCATCAAGACCATTTTCAATGTGTAACACACACGTGTGCGTGCACTCACAGAGTTTAGACTTTATGTAGATTGGAAATCAAGTTCCACATACCTGGAATCCTACTGAGTGTCACCCAGAAATGCTCATCAGGAGAGTCAGTATCTTTTGACCACTCAAGTAAATCAATGGCCCTTAGGTTTTGAAGAACAAAATTAGCAAATTCCCTTGTAAGGGCCACATAGGCAGAGCCAAAGTAAATTGTCAGATGGTGGGGAGGAGGCATTTTTCTCATGCAAGTCCACAGCATGAAGGAAAACAAGCTATCTCTGCTCCAAGTGCATGTATTTGGTCCTTCTGATAATATGAGGAGGAGGCGGCACCCCGGGGGTGATATTTTTCCTTTTCCGTAACCTCAGATACTGAACGTATTTCCCTGTTGGTTTTCAGGGGAATTCTTGCCCACAGGTGTTGATGACGTACTTCCAGGGAACCTCAGAGGCCACAAGG